>NC_000004.12:80588047-80739562 GCF_000001405.40 Homo sapiens
GGTTTCAGTTGAAATCTAGTCTTAGTCTGATCTCACAGAGAGCTCTGGAATATGAGAGATTGTTCTGCCTGCGGCAAGGTGAATTTGCTTGTATACATTTCCTTCCCCATTCCTCTCTCCATCAATTAATCATCAGCTGTCACAGAGGTGGGAGATGGAGAAGTGGCTCCTGTCAGCTAAGGACAGTCCTTTCAAGGAGGGTACAGGTGGGAACCATTAGCTTTTAACACCTGCAGGTCTGGAGCTGGGTACATCTGCCTGGGAAATGAGATCTAAGAGGGACACTACCAACATCCACTGCAGTGCTCTAGAACTACAGATGCTAAAGCTTAGTTCTAGCCATTTTAGGGAAAAAAAAAGTATGTCATTGTTTCAATAATGTAATCTTATGTAAGCAAAACATAATTTTATTTAGGTATTTAATCAATCATTTTATATGAAAATTTAATGACATCTTTAGTGTTACATACCTGACATGAAACATAGCCATTTGAATTAAAATAAAATGTATTTGGTCATTTACAAATGACCAAAAGCCCAAATATGATTTGGTGTCCAAAAATTTTACATGTGTAATAAAAAGCTTTCCCAGTTAAATCTTATGTCTGCTAGTACATGTCCCATATATAATTCATGCTGTGTTTTTTGAACTGACAGAATCAAGACAGCCAATTATACTTAATTAAGACAATTAAAAAATGATAATAATAATGATTATAATTTCAGCAATAGCTAACATATATTAAAAGCTTACCAAGTACTGGGCATTTTTCATAAGTGCTTTATATCCTTGAACTCTTAATATTTACTACATATATGAAATAGGCATTATTTTTATATCCACTTTATAGATGAGAATTTTGAGGCACGAAGAGGTTGAACATCTTATCCAGGTTTATATAACTGGTTAGTGAGTGACTTAAATTCAAATCTAGGCAGTCTGGCTCCAGAGTCTGATTCTTAACCAGTATGCAAATGAACAAAATTGCCCTTCAGAGAGCATATTACTTATGACAGTGGGGTGTTAGCTCAGAAGTATCAGATAAAACTGATGTTAATAACAACAGTAGATACATTAGTAGCTTGTATTGCATGACCATCACTGCTCTAAGCACTTTATATGTTAACTCAATTACTCCTGATTTATATCTTTATTTCTGGGTGACAAAACAAGCCACAGAGAGGTTAAATATTTTGCCCAGTGTTCATGGTAAAACTCATGTTTAAACTCAAGCAATCTGGGTCCAGATTCTGGGCTCATTAACCATTGAGCCCCCAAAGAAAGAAACTCATCCATGGAAAACATGAATATTACTTCCATGTGATTAGTTAAATATGAAAATATGGGAAAATATCTTTATACCTTCTGGGAAGAATTTATTTAACAAAATGCTAAAATCACAAACCATTAAAATTTAGTAAATCTGATTTCATTAATACTAAAATCCTTTATTGACAAAAGATAATTAGCAATGTTTAAAAACAAGCCACATATATATGTAATACATAAAGCTGACAAAGCATTTGTATCAATAACTTAAAAAGAATTTTTACTAGTTAAAAAAAATCCAATCAACAACTGAACAGATTATAAACAGCCAATTCAGGGATGAGGAAGCCAAATAGTTCAATCAATAGGAAAAGACACTCAGCTGTACTAATCTGATTGCTAATCAGAGACAAGAGAATTAAAATGAGCTGTATTTCATACCCACGAGGTCGACAAAAATTTAAAGAGACCAGTTACTTCAAATGCAAGTGAGATGTGAAGTAAGAAACCATGTTTGGTGATGGCAGTAGAGTACATTGTTAGGCAACTTTAGAGAGCAGTTTGACAATATCTAGTAAAGAGAAAGATGTGTATAATCTTTATACTAGTAGATAAATGATTGAGGGAAACTCTCAATCATATAAGCAAGGAGATAATTACAAGCCTGTAATTATCATGTAATTGTAATTGTAGCATTGCTCATAATAGCAGCATAACCTGAATGTTCATAAACATAAGAACAGGTTGTTGTCCATTCTTACAATGGGATATTATACAGGAATTAATGCAAAAAATATAGGTATTATTTATATCAACATAGGATCATCTCAAAGACATCGTGTTCAGTTAAAAGGAAAAAAGGCATGTTTCGGAATGATGTGTACAAAATGACACTCCGTCACTGATGAATTCGTTCCTTCTTGTGTCTCAGTTTCCTTATCTGTAAATTGGATTACTAACTGTATTTAATAGAAAGTGTGAGGATTAAATGAATTTATACAGGTAAAAGTATTTAAAACACTATTTAGAACACAGAATGAGCTGGGCACAGTGGCTCATGCCTGTAATACTAGCACTTTGGAAGGCCGAGATGGGCAGATCACGAGGTCAGGAGTTCGAGACCAGCCTGACCAACATGGTGAAACCCTGTCTCTACTAAAAATACAAAAAAATAGCCGGGTGTGGTGGCGGGTGCCTGTAACTCAGCTACTTGGGAGGCTGAGGCAGGAGAATTGTTTGAACCCGGGAGGCGGAGGTTGCAGTGAGCCGAGATCAAGCCACTGCACTTCAGCCTGGATGACAGAGTTGAGACTCTGTCTCAGAAAACAAAACAAAACCATGCACACGGCATCCTTAATAACTTATTATTTAAAATGTTTATATAAAGTTCAAAAACTGACACAATAATTAAACATTTTTATGATCATACTCATGTTCTAATCATATAAAAACTGTATAGTACACATTGAGGAATAATATACCTTAACTTAAGGAAAATGGTTACATTGTGCTAGGTAGGAGGAGGTTGGAAAAGAAAGGAGGGAGAAGAGTAGGATTGAAGAATAGGCTTTTACATAATGCTTTGTTTCTTTAAAATTTATGATTCCAATATGGGAGAATGTTAAGATTTGAGCAAGTTGCTTAGCAGGATGTTGGCTACCTGAGTATTAGGTATAATAGTTATGTTAATAAATATTTGTTATATTAATCTTTCTTAATTTACTTTATGTTTGAAATATTTTATAGTCATACATGGAAGCAAGAAACAGATTATAATACTTTAGGAAATTTTTTTTTTTTTTTTTTTTTTTTTTATTTTTTTTTGAGACGGAGTCTCGCTCTGTCGCCCAGGCTGGAGTGCAGTGGCGGGATCTAGGCTCACTGCAAGCTCCGCCTCCCGGGTTCACGCCATTCTCCTGCCTCAGCCTCCCAAGTAGCTGGGACTACAGGCGCCCGCCACTACGCCCGGCTAATTTTTTGTATTTTTAGTAGAGACGGGGTTTCACCGTTTTAGCCGGGATGGTCTCGATCTCCTGACCTCGTGATCCGCCCGCCTCGGCCTAGGAAATTTTTTAAATGAACAATTATTGGTGAATTTATTATATCTAGTAACTTGTTTACAAAGAAACAAACAAACAAAAATCATGCAGCGAAGAGGTCGAACTTTGGCGTGGCACCTCACGATTATTTCTTCTCTGGAAATGGAATGCAAATCCAGGACAGGTGCCCTAGAGACCATGGATGTCCTCACTAATCCCTAACCCTCTCCACCTAGATGATCAATTACTATTGAGCCAATAGGTTTCACTCTGTTGGAAAGGGACTTTAGAAATGGAGGGGCACAGAGCCAAGGAGTCACTGAGGCTAATCTTTTAAAATATGTGATCATAATCTCCTGCTACTGAGGTCCCTAATATACCCATGTATCTGTCCCTTTGTTTGGAAGGGCCTTCAATAGGGTCTTTGAATTTGGGAGATACTGCAGGACCATTTCAATAAATCCTCCATTTTGCTTAGAGTTCAATTTGTGGTTTACAGCAAAGAGAACATTAACTACAACCTTAAAATTAGTATGGTTTATTTTTAACAAAGAGAGAATAATCATTTAGTAGAATCCTTTTGTGGGAACAGATTTTTACTAATTCCATCCAGAAGAAACTTTCAAAAACATTGGTAAACTGGAGTCTATGGATTCACACTCTGTGTGCAACTAAGAAAGCTATTATTTCTTTTAAACTCAATTTTATGTACCTTTTTCACATATTAAAATATTAATTAAGAGTTACTAAAATTGCTACAAATTTTGGAGAAATAGAATGCAAAATGGGGTGGGTGCAATAAAAGGTAAAATTAGTGAGTTTACTGATTGCAGTGATGTACATAAGGGTTTTTACCTTTTAAAACATTTGTGTTACTGCAATTATAAAAGCTGCTATTGTACATAACTGAGGAAGCATTTACAGATTGTTCTGGATTTGTATATGTGCAATAAAGGACAAGTATATCCATGAGACTATTTGACCCTTGATGCAAAATGATAGTACTATTTCTTTCTTCAGATCTATAAATTGTAAGAAAAAACTTCTGGCTGCCTAACCTTAACAAGTACCATGGCTTTCATGTTACAAATGATACAAAACAAGCAAAGGAAAAAATAATTTGCTATGTGAAACATATCATTAGAAATGGATAAATTAAATGGCTATTCTGTCAAACAGTTTTACTTCTCAAAGTTAAAAGAGGGCCTCATAAGAAAGTTTTTAATAAAAATCAGTTGTCAGGAAAGATGTTGAGTGTGCTATAATAAATAACAGAGCTAATCTTCAGAGGATTAAAAGGGATATAACCACGATTACTCTTTAAAATTTATGAAAATTATGGCTCAATCTATTTTGCAAAGCATGATGGTGAATTTGGCAGAAAACACTGAAGTAATATGTAACAGTTGTAATTTAGTGTTTTTGCTATTAGGAGAAAATTACGTTGCATAATATTTGAAACATTTTTTCTTCTGATTTTCCAGTTGAATATAATTTAATACTTTAAGAGTTTGGTGTCTATAGCACAGTTTGGATCAGAAACGGAAATTTAGCAATCATGTTTACTTCTCTTTTTCTCCTTAACTCTAAGATGTGGTGAAATAATTCAATGCTCTTTACAACCTAACTTTTGAAACAATATTATGTTTATTTAGATGCTATAGCTAAAAACGGAACACAAGTGAGCCTTCCCATTCCTTTTTCCCACTATTTTGTCTGGGAGAAGAATATATTTTACAGCTGGGTCTTCACAGGGTTGTTCTGTGTATATATTGGCAGGTGCTATTCTTTGGACCAACTGTAGGTGTCTGACTCCGTTGTTGATCTCCATTTACTCATTCTTAGCAGAGGGGAAGATCTAAATCTGAACCAACTGTCTTCATTGCAGTTAAGATAGCAAGAATACCTGTTTGAATTGGCATGGTGGATGACCTTTTATAAATATATACTCTGCTTCAGTTTTTGAGATATGGGAGGAAAGTCTCAGAAGAATCAATTTAACTGACATTCTTTTTCTAGGGATTGCTACTCCTCTTCATATCTGACCAGTATACGGCTTTTGCAGTGTTAACTGTTGCAATGATAATTAAGGTCGTTGTCTTTTATTGAATGCTAGCTTCGTGTTGGCATTTATAACTTGTCAAATCTATGGGCATAAAGTTATTTATAGTATCCCCTTATCATTTTAGTGTCTGTGGGATCTATGGTGATATCCACACTCTCCAGATATTGGTCTTCTCTTTTTTTCCTGAGCAGGCTGGCTAGAGATTTTATCCATCTTCTCAAAGAGCCAGCTATTGGCTTCATTGATTTTTGTCTACTGATTTTGTGTTGTTCATTTTGTTGATGTCTGATGTTTGTTATTTCTTTTATTCTGCTTACTTTGGTTTTTGCTTTTCTTTTTCTAGTTTTTTAGATGAAAGTTTAGGTCATCAATTTGAGACTTTTCTTCTCTTCTAACAGGTGTTTCAGTGCTATACATTTCCCTCTAAGCACCACTTTTGCACCATCAGATATTTTGATAGGTCATGTTTTCATTTTCTTGCAGTCCAAATTTTCTAATCTCCCTTTTAGTTTATTTTAATCATGAGTTATCCAAAAGTTGTTTTTTAGTTGCCAAATATTTGGGATTTTCTAGCTTCTTAAATTTTTCTAGCTTTTCTGAGATTGTTCAGTCTATTAACTTTAAATGCTCATTCCTTTTCTTCCTTTCCTGTAAAGATCTTACTATTTACACATGCTAGGTATATTAGTCCATTTTCGCACTGCTATAAAGAAATATCCAAGACTGGGTAATTTATAAAGGAAATAAGCTTAATTGACTCACAGTTCCACATGGCTCAGGTAGGCCCCAGGAAACTCACAACCATGACAGAAGTGGCAGCAGTCACCTTCTTCACAAGGTGGCAGGAAAGACAGAGAGATTGAAGGTGGAACTTTTCAAACACTTATAAAACCATCAGATCTCATGAGAACTCACTCACTATTATGAGAACAGAATGGGGGAAACTGCCCCCATGATTCAGTTACCTCATGCCAGGGTCCTTCCTCAACACCTGGGGATTACAATTCAAGATGAGATTTGGGTGGGGACACAAAGCCAAACCATATCACTAGGATTGGGCTGAATAGGCATATCATTAGTTTTTTATTTTTCTTTCCTCCTTGCCCTTTCTAGAACATACCTCATGTTAAAAGCATGAATAATCTTGCTTTATATGTCATTTTCATTTTAAAATATCATATACCATTTTATTTTTTTAATCTTTGTATCGCATTCTTATGTGATCCCTGAGAAAACTAGAACTGTTGTTTTGTTTTGTTTTGCTTTGCTTGTTTTAAAATTTTATTCTATTCTCTGAATTACTTCTATGTCTACCAGGATGAATTTTTCTTTCTGTAAGTATTTGTGTCTATCACATCACAAGATTTTTCTCAAATATCTAGTGATTCTTGGTTGTTCATTAACATTTAAGAATAACACGACACAAAAGCTGACTGTTACCTCTTGTGAACCTAGTTAGGGTCAACTAGTTAGTAATCACTGATAGGTTTTGCATTAATCTGTGACTGGAGAGGAGCTTTCCATTAGTCAGAGGCCCTCTCAAATATGGCAGGCCTTGCTTTTTGGCACCAAGTCCCAAGCTATGTGCTCTAATTCTCCCCAGGGACTTAGTTCCATTTCTTTAGTTATTAGTCGCCAGTCCTTTGCCTGGGTGTTTGAGGGGAATGACTATCTGGCTATGGATAATTCTTTTCATATGGGTAGAGGGTATCAACTGAACTCCTTGTTTTAGCCCCACTTAACCCTTCTTACCTTCCATATCTCTGGAATTCCTGAGTCCTGAATTTCTCTAGGGCTCTGCCAAGATTGGTTTCCTTCTTGTATGCAGCCTCCTCCCTCCCAAAGATAGCACAGATATATTTCCCCCTCCCAAAGATAGCACAGATATATTTGTATTTCAAATTCACAATTACATATTCTGATGTTATCTTCTAAAAGTTTTATTGTTTTAGTGTTTACATTTAGATGTATGTTTCACCTGCAATTACCATTCTTCCTCCTTTTGTTCTTCCACAAAGTAAGCCCAGTTATGCCTGCTTCCCTTTTATTCATGATGTTCAACACTGGCTTGTCCAAAATTTGTATGTATCTGTTGCTTTGCAATAGATGCTCTTTGATAGGCCAGTTCTACAGTGACTTGTTGATATAAATGCTCTGCATCTTATTGGATTGGAGTAAAGAGTAATAAGATAAAATGACATCTCATTTAGTTGAGAATTAATATGCTGGAATGAATGTACAGTTTAACAAGTTGCTGTTGTTTGAAGGTTTTCTGTGGACCTAAGAAATGAAAGTGTCTTTGAAAGAATGCTGCATACCACTTTGACATCTGCAATCCAGTATGAAATATTTATTAAGTTATCAAGCTAAGGAAATTATGGACATATTTTCTGGTGTGTTTTCTGAGGTGGTGAAGTTCTCCAAAATACTTGGAAAAATATTTGAGGAGGAGGAACGTTCAGTTCCAAAATACTTTCTCCTTTGGGGAGAGTGGATTTGACAGTGCGTGCAATACATAGCACTCTTATATCTGACCCCTGATGAGGGTTCCCATCATACCTATTAGTCTTTGTGAGACTCTCTTGAATGAAACAGAATTGACCAAATGAAAGATCTTATTTTATATAATTATCTTTTTGGAGTCCAAAGAGGGAAAGAGGGATTGGAGAAGGAGGGAGAGAGGAAGGAAGGGAAGGAGGAAAGCAGAGAGGGACAGATACATGTTTGACACCAATTTCATTATGAACCATAGCATCTTAGAAATGAAAGGAGCAGGGTTTATCTTGTTCAGCCTCTGTCTCATTACGGGAATCCTCCTTTGAGCTTTTCTGACAGATGGCTATGCAGTCTTTGCTTAAATAGTTTAAATATTTTCATTGATAGGCAGCTCATTCCTTTGTAGGTTGTTATTTGCATTTCAGCAAGTTCTAATAATTAGACTGCAACGGGCAAAACCTGCCTTCTTTTAGTTATTGGTCTTTTGGAGCAATATAGAATAATACTGCTGCCCCACTGTGATTTTTTAAGATAGCTTTCACATTTTCTTTTAAATATTTAGGGCTTTTTAAGGTTAAAATTTAAAATTTCTTTAATCACTCTTTATTTAAGCTCTTGGCATTCTGATTTTTTTTTTCTGGATACTCCCTATACAGTGTCTCTTTAGAAACTTCTTTTTAAAATTGAGGCTTAGCAAACATATAAAAGCATGCAGCTGTTAAATGTGCAGGTCCATAAATTACTGCAAAATGAACAAACCATTTGATCACTACCCAGAATAAGAAAAAGAACATTACTGATACCAAATAAGCCTTACGTATGTCCATTTAGTCACAACTCTCCTATTCTCAATGATAATCCTTATTCTGATTTCTAATACCATAGAACAATTTTGTCATTTTTAAATGTTATATAAATAGAACCATATTTTCTGACTTTTTAAACTAAATATTTTGTTTATGAGAACCATCCATGTTGTCGTGTGCAGTTGTGGTATATACTATTTTATTTCTGTGGTTTTCCATTTTATGATACACAATTATTTTTGTTTTACTTTTTATGGACAATGGATTGTCTACAATTTTTGACTGCTATAAATAATGGGGTTATGCTTATACATATCTTTGTGTGCATATATGTATATTGGTTTCTATTGGTTATATACCTACAAGTAAAATTGCTAGGTCATAGGACCTATGTATGTTCAGTTTTGTTTACTAGATAATGCCAAATATTTTCCAAAGTGATTGGGCCGGTATAAATTCGGAGCAACTGTGTATGAGAGTCCCTATTGCTTCATGGTCTTGCTAACATTTAGTATTTTAATTTCTGATTTTTAATATTCTAGTAAGTATATAGCATTATATCATTGTAGTTTAAATTTGCATTTATATGATTGTTAATGAGGGTCATCCATGTGTTTATTGGTCATTTTAATATCCTTTTCTGAAAAGCGTCTATTCACATTTCTTATCTATTTTTCTACTGTATCTTTTGTCTTTTTCTTATGTAGGCAATTTGTACATATTCTGGATAAACATATGTGCTGTGAATATATTCTCCCTCTCTGTAGCTTACCTTTTTGCTTTCTTAATGAAAGTTCCAAATTTTAACGTGGTCCAATTTATTAATCTTTTCCTTTATTGCTAGAGATGTTTCTACGCTGTTTAAGATATCTTTGCTATCTCAAAGTTACAATTATATATTCCTATGTTATAGTCTAGAAGTTTTATTGTTTTTATGTTTACACTTAGATGTATATTTTACCTACAATTACTTTTTTTTTTAAAGATGGAGTATTGCTCTGTCACCCAGGCTGGAGTGCAGTGTGCAATCTCAGCTCACTACAACCTCCTGCTTCCAGGTTCAGGCAATTCTCCTGCCTCAGCCTCTTGAGTAGCTGAGATTACAGGCATGTGCCACCACTCCTGGCTAATTTTTGTATTTTTAGTGGATACTGGGTTTTGCCATGTTGGCCATGCTTATCTTGAACTCCTGGCCTCAAGTGACCTGCCTGCCTCGGCCTCCCAAAGTACTGGGATTATAGGCATGAGCCGCCGTACCCGTTCTGCAATTACTATTTTGCATATAGTGTGAAGTTACATTGAGATACCCATTGCACATCCTAGCAAAGATGTCAAGCAGGCATAAATATAAAAATCTGGATTTCAAATTGCAGGTCTGAGTTGAAGTTAAAAGTTTAGAAGTTTTCAGTATACAAATGCCACTATGAGATTAGATGTTATGCTAAAGAGTTTAGCATAGATAAACAAGAAGCCTGAGGACAGAGCCTAGGACACTCCAACGTATCATCCCCAAATAGACTTAGTTCTGTGCTACAGGCTAATGTACAAAACAGTGTACTAGTATGGAACACAGTGTGCTATAGATTCCTATTACCTGAATACTACTTTTAGAAATGTACCTACAATTGTATTGATTTATTACATTGGCTTGTGCCAGTCATGTCACAATATAAACTTCAATGTTATAGCAAACCAAAATGTGAGATATTTAAATATGAATTGTTATTAAGCCATGCCCTTCATTAACTACTACTAGAATTGATTAGTTTGAATATCAAAACAGCAATTAACATGTTTTCTTGAGCATTTAATGGTGTTTTCATGTTATTCAGATTATTTGTTCAAGCCTATCAGGGTATTTTGGAATCCTAAATAATTAATCCAAAATGTTAGCTCTTTCTCCTTTATTCAGGCATTCAACATAGGCAGATATGATAAGAAAGTGACTAATAGCAAATACCAGATACTATAGGATTATATCCTAAAATCTCTGACTGGTATGCTAGAGGCCTTCCTCCTCTAGGTGACATTGCTCCTAACTGCAAATCGTGTTTAAGCAAAGCTATTTAGTTGTACCTAACATACTGTTTCCTCAGATTTTCAAGCAAAGAAATCGTAAGAGAATACACCTTTCTCTGAATCCCCACTTCTTGTTATATCGAGGTAGGGTCCTAATGCTAGAAACTTGACCACATTCTTAGAGTAAATCACTTCCAGTATAGAGTTACTTCACCTCTGTGAAAAGGAATACCCAAAAGATGGTATGCGGCATGCCTAAATGTCATACTTTGGCCTCTAGCCACCTCCAACTATGTGAAAGTAAAAGCTTTATGCAAAATAGATTTTATTTGGCCAAATCCAAGGAGAAAGTCTTTAAGTATGCATTTATTTCAGTTGCAGCATTTACAAAGTGTCTGTTTTATGCAGTGCACTGTTCTATATATCATTAAGACATACAATGAATTATGGATCTCTGTCCTCCCACCTGATATCTAATCTCTACGTCTGTCCTTTACACTGCTGTTGAATCCACAGCTCTATAATCGTCTTCATTTTCTGCATAATTTGTTTATGAAATTACATCCTGTGATAGCACTCTTTCTTAAGACATCTCCATACGTTGTTGCAAGGTGCTTTTCTAACTCGTTATTAGCAGTGATGCTAGTTGGTCTTTACAGTTATGTGCCTAACATTCATATCCTGTGAACTATCCTTAATTCTCTACTGTTTTATATAGGTTTGGCAATGACAGATAAGAATCCTCAGTCTTATAGAGGTAAAGTGATGTAGTTAGTGACCCAGTCGGTCTAGAAAATAGTTTTTAAAAATCTTCTGTCCTATTATTTTTTTTTACTAGTCCACACAGTGTAACTTCAAAATTGCAGAGGTATTGAATTTAAGGACCCATATTAACAATGAGTACAAATTCAAAACTCTCTTAGGTTACCTCATGATTGCATTGTTACAAATTTCACATAAAATGAGGGCCTGCTTCTCCTGATCTTGTAGGATACTACTGTTACACCCACAGGGAATCTTTAAGGTCTGAAACTTGTGCTTAAGTTGTAAGGGATCATTTATTTTTGAAATATTTACAGTAATGCTTTTGTAAAGCATGCGACCAAATCATAATATGGGCCTTTAGCAATGATGCAAAGAAGGTTGTTGATTATCAATGGGAAACTTAGATGTTATATACTTGAAATTGGGATACAAAAACAAACAAAAAGCTGAAATTTATCAGATCTCAAAGGGAAAAATTAGTAATTCATGCATAATAAACAAGGAAAATATTTTTTAAAGTCAGGGTGTCCGAATGCCTCTGAGATCAGTTTAACATATATGTTCTACACTTATAAATAGCAGATTACCAAAATTCAAGCTGACCTTGGCCACTGTATGAGGGTGATATTTTTGAAAGAATGAGTTAGACTGAAACAGTTTCTGCAATATATTAGGCGCAAATATGCTTTCTTTCCATGTTAGGCATGCAGAACTTTTTCCCACCTGTTGACTTTTCCTTAAACAAACATATTATCTGATATAACTAGTCCAAAGAAAATTTTCTCTTCCTCTACGTGAATGAACTCCCCTTTTACCCTTTTGCTAAATCCTGGAGTTCTGATGTAGTTCAGGATGTTATATTACATCCATGTCACTTTTTGGAATCACTTCAATGGTATAGTGCCTTGAATTATTTTCAAACATTTAACCAGCTTCTGTTTAGGTCTGTTTTCTCTTTTGACAGTGTACGTTTATTTTCCAAATACAAATATAATACAGATTGGACTCCCTGTGCTGCTGTGAGCTTTTAAATTAAAAACAAGCTTTGTCTTACAGTCTTTAATAATTGTAAAAAGTGGCAAAATTAAGAATGTTTCATCAGTTTGTACTGTAGCTATCATGACAATTATTGCATACTGTGGTTATTTGCTTTCTTCTCACTATTGAAAAGGTCAGTTTTTTGTTGTTGTTGTTGTTGTTTCATGGGAATAAACAACTCCTGAGGAATGGTTCTGTGTATCCAAAATACAAAGCAAGTTTCTGGGACATGGATTTACACTTATTCTGTGGTAAAGATAGTAGGCTATAAGTTAAATTTTAAATTCATAGTTGAATTCTGATACTTACTAGTTGAACCACTTTGGAAAAAGGCTTTGCCCTTTCTATGCCTTAGTTTCATCAGTTGTAGAAAGAGGGTAACTATTGTATCCACCTGATGGATTATAGAATGATTTAAATGAGATGGAGTAAGTGATGTGCTTCATATGGTGTCTGTATTTATTGAATGCTTAACAAATATTAGTTGTTATTAAGACTCATATATGAGAGTGTTATATAAAGCTGCAACCTTCCCAGATGGTTAGAGAGAAGAATCAATAGGAAAAAACTTTAAAAGTTTTATAGCTTTTAGTTAGCAGATAATGAAATTGAGACTCAAAGAGGTGATAACTTATTATACACATCTTTGTTATCTAAGATTAATTGGAGAAGTTTAGTTTTTAATCTCACTATTTTATCATGTGACATTATTTAAAGTAGAAAATTTGTGCTCCTATAACTTAGCTTTGCCTAAATTTTGAGTGGATCTGACTTAGATACTTCTTAAAATTTTTCATGTGATAAATTTTCCTTGACTACACATACCATATTTTGTGCATTTTGAGATGTAAGTCATATGAATAAATAAATGCTGTTAGAGTTTGAGGGCATTATTTACTATGACTTCATTATGCCCCACCTACCTTTGCAATTAGTTGAGAGAAAATTCTAAAATCAGATAGAATGAAAAAATAATATTAACTCTTAAACAGATAAATCTATACTGGAATGATGGCTTAGTGTGAAAGCAAATGGGCTTGCCATTGTTGTATTTTTTCCCCTTTTCTAGACTTTGGAACAGTCAGACTAAAAGAAAGTTTGTTGTGTATAGTGGACAATACCTAGGGTCACCACGCCACCTCACACTCATGGCTATTGCTTGATCCGGGTGAGATAAGCATGGATCACGTTCTCATTCATTTCCTCAGGGAAGAGTAAGGGACAGAACAATGTGAGTAAAAATTGCAGCACTATTCACAATAGCAAAGACATGTAATCAACCTAAATGTCAGTCAATGATAGACTGGATAAAGAAAATGTGGTATATATACACCATTGAATACTGTGCATCCACAAAAAGAATGAAATCATGTCCTTTGTTGAAGACCATTATTGTTAGAAAACTAATGCAGGAACAGAAGACCAAATACTGCATGTTCTCACTTATAAGCGGGAGCTAAATGATGAGAACACATGGATGCTTAGAGGGGAACAACACATACTGGGGTCTATCACAGAGTGGAGGGTAAGAAGAGTGAGAGGATCAGGAAAAATTAACTAATGGGTACTAGGCTAAATACCTGAGTGATGAAATAATCTGTATAACAAATGCCCATGACACAAATTTACCTACGTAATAAACCTGGACATCCACCCCTGAACTTAAAATAAAAGTTAAAAAAAAAAATTCAACAGGTTCCAAATAAATGTAAATGAAGGAAGGCAGTTAAGAAATGCTAGATATGAGCTTTTTAATGCCAGGCTACTTGTCAAGAATGCTTGCAATCACTTCAGTTGTACAGGCTTATCCTCGTGGCTCTAACATAAGAAATAACATAATAAAATTAATTTAAAAAAGTATATACATGGAAAGGAAGAGTCCAAAATATGTATAATGGAAAACGATGTAATTTTTTCCAAAGTTCAAGAGAACTAATTGAACAATCATTAACACTACTAATAAAGTTCTGAAAGGAGACCAAATAATAGATCTCTGCCTTATACCAGAGAAGAATTCTAGCATAGAAATTAAATATAGAAATTAACCAACCATTAATATAGGTTGATGAGAAACAAGTCTGGTTGGTCCTGGTGGCTAATCTTTCTTTCCTTCCTTGGTTGCTTAGTAGAGAGCTGGCTCAACAAATCTATTAGTTTAACAGAAGGACAGCCTCTGGGGCCCAGAGGCTTCCACTTTCAAACAAGGCCATCCTGTGAGAAAAAGTCTGCTCCCGTTGCAGATCGCAAAGCTTCTCCTGCCCTTTGGCCTTATAAATACATGAGGCATTACTGACTCAAGGCCCTTCTCTGCTGGAACACTGGCCATGTGCACACAGACCTGGGCACTGGGTGATGGAGGTGAAGAATGGGGATAGGGTGTGCTCTATTGTTTCTCTGCTTCTCAGTTTTCTCTTGATGCCCCCCATGCTGTATTTGCACTATGAGGTGCTGGCGGTGTGTGCCCATGACCCCATACTCCCAAAAGTATAAGCAAATATTTATCTGCTTTTAGGATAAAGAAGATCTCTAAGCATGACACCAAACCCCAAATGTCAAAAGCAAGGAATTATGGATTTGACTAAAAAAGACTTTGGCAAGTTAAAAGTCCCTGTAAGCAAAATGAGAATATGAAAGGCCAAATGTGAAAACTATGTTAGCATATTTTACATATTAATTTTAAAA
This sequence comes from Homo sapiens, assembly GCF_000001405.40. Classification (NCBI taxonomy): domain Eukaryota; kingdom Metazoa; phylum Chordata; class Mammalia; order Primates; family Hominidae; genus Homo; species Homo sapiens. The sequence goes on from NC_000004.12 coordinate 80,603,228, forward strand.
AGACATACTATAACATATTTCTTAACAGAAAAATAAGCAGAAGGATGAATGGATGTGAAAATGCCCAAATGTCCAGCAATCACTTTATAAATACATGGTGCAAAATATCTAAACTAAATTAAAACAATAATTAGGTACAATTTTTGCTTCTCAATATAATACATATACATACATATATGTACATATATGCCTACACATATATACATGCACACACGCACAAACATATGTGTACATTATAATAGCTATCGCTGAGTGCTGAGAGTCAGAGATGATCCCATGATCACATTGTACTATTAGCAGGAGCATTTTAGCAATATGTGACAATAGGTAGAATAATATGTATATCCTTTAGCCACTTATAAAAGTTGTTTCAAAGGAAATATTTATGAATGTGTTTAAGGACTTATGTATGAAAATATTTGTTCAGCACATTGTTTTTTAATTTAGAAAAAATTGATAGTGACCTCAATTCCAACAGCAATCAATTGCTGAAGTAATGCATTATTCATCTATATGATAGAATACTGTACAAATATTAATAAGGTTGAAAATACATAATGGCTTTAACATATTGTCAACAAGTAATTCAAGAATAAAAAACTCTATCTCTCTTGGTATCTCCATTTAGGAAAGCAGGAAAAACAATCTCTAGAATTATTTCTGAGTGGTAGAATAATGGGCCCTTATTTGTTTTTCTGCATTCTCGCTCTTTAAAATAAATTAATACAACATGTTACCTCATGTGGTAGCAAAGACAAAGTGTTCACTTAAAAAATACTTGAATATAAAATTACATATTAGACTGAAATTAAGAGATTTTAAACCCAGAATTTTTACTTGTTGAAACCATTATCCTTACCTTTAGGAGACTTCATTCATTCAGGAGCTTGGCCTAGGGAAGGGAGGACCCAAATCAAAAGAAAACTTTAAAGCCTTATAACAGAAACACTGTCTTAAAAGAACTCACATTTCAAAAGCTGGATTTCGGGGAGAGGAAATATCTTTTGATTGTCAAAAGCTAAATGCCTAAGGGACTCAGGGCATATATAGAAAATAATAAAGTAAGAGAAAATGCAAGCTGATGCACTTTTTTTTCTGCCTAATGATAAAAAAAAAGTTTGGCTAGCTGTCAGTAAGATAATTGGAAGTGTATGTGACTAAAAGTTAGGCACTGGTGGGTCCCTGGGCATCAGTCCAGTGCTCCGCTCTCTAGGTACATCTTGATGTCTTGACAGAATTGATGTCTTGACACAAGCTGACAATTGAAACTCAAGAGGTATCTTCACCTAGCTTTCAAAGTGTTACCTGGATTGCAAGCCCCAGTGAAATGCTTTGTGTCCAGAATGGTGCCTGGATATTGGCAGTGAATACATGAGGTGCCTCGGCAGGTGGCCTGACAGCAGACCCTTAAAGTCAAGTTCATTTAGGCAAACATGAAAAGGTTTACAGTTTATTACTTCGAGGACACAATGAACTGGATAGAACTGGCAACTGGAAAGCAAAGTGAGATGCTTACATTTCAAGGTGAATGCAGGGACAACAATCAAAAAACGAAGTATAAATTTTACAAGAGTATGAATTGCACGTCACATCAGAAACGCAGGATGGATAGATATTAATGACTTTGTATCAGACACTTGTCCCCAGAGGACAATATAATACCAGAAAAAAAAAAAACATGTAATCCTAGGAAAGGATAAGGGAGAGGAGAATTCTGAACTGCCCAAATATTTTCCTCAGAGTTTTTGAGTTTGAGCTGGAAAAAAAGTAACAGTTTATTTTACATTGGCAAGATGATATGTTTTGCTACCAGTGAAAATGGGGGCTCACAAGGTAAGTTCAGTTACAGAGAAAAATTTTCAAAGCTACATTTTTCATGCCTGAGTCATATAAAATGCATACCTCAAAAGAGAAATGGTTATTTGTAATTCTACTTGCAGTCATGCTGAAATAATTTATTCATATTTTAGAGAGTGAGAGGTAGATGATTTTCATTGAAGAAATACTTCTGGTGCAGATAAATTTTCTTTTGAACAACATTTAGTTTTCAGCCAAATGCTTAATGAACTTATCTATGACTTTATTTTCCAAAGGTAAAAAGTGGCCTGATGGGAGGGGAAGGAAAATACCAAAATGATTTTTCTAAAGTGTTTTCATAATAATCACTTTTTCTTAAACATAAAAAGACACTAATACATTTTACTTTAAATACAGACTGGAAAACTGAAAACTAGATTATATAGCCAAGAGGAAATGGCATTACAAAATGCTCTTACTGACTTTACTACATCACCTTTTAAATAAAAGAAATAGAAGCAAATGTCAGGAATGTGTTTTCAAGAATGAGATTTTGCTTGTGGTATTTCATTCTGGCTCTAAATAACCTGCAAATAAAATGAAAAGAAGGCATGCACTTGTTTTTATAAGAATAAAATATTTGTATGTCTCCTATTTAATAACATTGTCATGGTAGCTTTTGTTCTTTATTTTTCTTTAAATTTTCCTATTGGGAAATAATTTCAAACTATAGGAAAGATACAAGAATAATACAAAGAATACCTGTATATGCTTTAGTCAGATTTACCTAGTATTGCCTATTATTTTTATTAACACTTAAGTTTTTTTTTTAACAGTCTGAGTTTTTTAACAAAAGTTAGTCATTCTGCATTGTTTTCTATTGGTTTAGAGGCAGCATATCTGTCTCCTACAGCTTTTGGGGTAGGACAGCTTCTGCCTGACCATGAAAGTCCTCTTAGGGCAATAGGGACCAGCTTGCCTTTCTTTTGCATTCCTATGAGAGGCCACATCACTTGCTGTCTGAAGAGTCAATGAAGCTCTTAACTATTGTAGCTGATGAATACATTTTTAAAATTAATAAAGGTGTGGGCAAACAAGTCAGTGGTGGTATGTATTGTAAAAGTGAAAACCTCATTCTCCAATCATATGTCCCTTTCTCCAAGAGTCTCTTATAAGTCTTTTCAGAAATACTCTGAGTATAGTATGTACAAAGGTATATAGCCATAGCTAGGCTGGGCGTGGTGGCTCACGCTTGTAATCCCAGTGCTTTGGGAGGCCAAGGCGGGTGGATCACAAGGTCAGGAGTTCGAAACCAGCCTAGCCAACATGGTGAAACCCCGTCTCTACTAAAAATATAAAAAATTAGCTGGGATGGTGGCAGGCGCCTGTAATCCCAGCTACTCGGGGGGCTGAGGCAGGAGAATCGCTTGAACCTGGGAAGCAGAGGTTGCAGTGTGCCAAGACCCTGCCATTGCACTCCAGCCTGGGCAACAGAGCGAGAATCTGTTTTTTTAAAAAAAAGATATGTAGCCATAGCTACAGTAATAGGTATATAGATACAAAGAGATGTACATTTGTTTCTTAAAGATATAAACACATAACTCCTTTTCCATATTAGAAATAATGGTATTAGACTCTACACGTGCTCTTCCATGGCTTGCTCTTTTCATATAACAACATACCTGAATTAGTTTGTGATATAAGTTCATACAAATGTGCTTCAGTCTTTTTAAAGGTTGAATAATATTTCATTGTATGGGTATGCCATAATTTTTAAATCTACACTCTAAATTATATGCTTTTTAAAAAAAAATTTCACGGATAAAAAAACTAAGATTTTTATTTTTCTTTTGTGAGTGATTTCCTGTAAGATAAATTTCCAGCAGGCTACTTTTGCATTTAAATTGGGATAATAACTTTGATATAATCATCATTTGACTTTTCTTGTCTTTGATGCATTCAGTAATGTTTGCAGAAGGAAGGAAGGGAGAGAGGAAGGAAGAAGAAAAGAAAGTCAGGTAGGCTAGTTTTTAGGGAACAGTGGTTCCTTACATGAGTGAAAGAGGACAGGGACCTTCTAGTCAAGATTATGATCAAATTTTCTTACCAATTTTCTATTGTGAACATTTTATGTCTTTCAGAGGGCAGCTGGAGTATTACTTTCTCAGGAAGAGTATAGCAAATAGAATATTAAATAATATTTTTATTGTATGGTCCTGTGATACCCTAAACTTCTTCATCGCACCTGAAATTTTTCTCGGTATCTATCTCCTTAGATAGACAAGAAACAATAAGTACTATAGAGTCTTGTTGGTTCATGTATTCTCTACTTCATAAGGATATCGAGATGCTCTGCCTTTCTTAAAAGCAAAAAGTAGAGGGTGGAGAAACAGAGAAAGTGGAAGAGACATCAGTGAGACAGAGAGAGACCATGAGAGAGAGAAAGTAAGAAAAAGAACAAGGAATGGAGAAGGGAGGAAATGAGGGAGGCAAGAAGGTGATGACGCCAGGGGTTAGAGCTGTAAACATTAGAGAATTAGGGAAAAAATGAATTGTAAGACAGAAAAAAAAGAGAAAACACCAAGATATAAGAATTCAACATTTTCCTACTTCAGAAACCAGAGAAACATTGTGTTATTTTCCATAAAGTCAAAGAAGTCGACAGTGATCGCTCAGCTTCTGGCTGCAGACTGAAAGCTATGTGTGTTGGAAGGGCATGATTCAGAATAAAAAGGATTGTTTCGAGGGCTTGTATTATAATTTAAGTTGTGCAAGGAGAACTGGGAAATGTGTCACTGCAAAGGTGAAATACTTGCTTTCCATTTCTTAATGCTGTGGGAATAGAAATGTAATTATGGTCATGAATCTTTCATAGTGGGGCCAACTTGGAAATTACATTGAACTGGGAGCCTATGTATTGTAACAATGTGAAGGTTACATGAAGTAGTTTTGCCTAATTTTATTTTAGATTAGAATGTAGTGTAGTGGAGACATTTAGAAAGCATTTCGTAGCCAAAGTTTCTTTTTCAATTTTACTACTTTACAATTTTATATACAAATATATGTGTGTGTATATATACACACATACTTATCTGTACAGTTATAATATATGGGGATATTCATGTTAGAGATATGAGCTATCTAATTTTTTTTTACCATTCACAAGTGTTGTCGAGACTAAGTAATTAGGAAATAGATAACTGATTCCAACAGTACCAGAGGGTGGGGTTCAAGCTATACTTTAGATAGGAGATTTGTTAACATGTGGAATACACCTCAGTTGGATTTCCCCTTTTAATTTGTTTAAGCTAAATCAACAGGAGACTGATGCTGCTCATATCTTGAAGAAGCAACTGGCAGTAAGTACTGCTTATGGAAAAGTTTCCTTTACAAGTTAGAAAAACATTTTGGCTTCATCCTACATATATACTCCACTCCAAGGGCTATTGCTACTGTTTTCCGAATTACTCACCAGCTTGATGAATGACAGTCACAAGTAGTGCTTTTATTGCAATGTACAGATGTTGATATTTTCCAGAATTTTTTTAGGGTAAATGGCTCTCATTTTGAAAAAAAGCGCATTGTAGATTTAATGAAGGAACTTAGGTTTTCACTTAAAAAATCCATACAACTCTTATATTTTAAAATCTTATTTTTTAAAGAAAGTTTGTTTAAAGAACCTGTTGTCTTTGGCATTGATAGAAAGCAGATGTTACCAATGGGATGAAGCCAGGAGGTTTAATGAGTAATAATAGAGTTAGAAACAGAATAATCATGTTAAGGGTCAGAAATGGGTTAGAATTCTTGTGTAAAACTGGGTAAAGCTTACACGATGCATGTGTGTGTGTGTGTGTGTGTGTGTGTGTATGTGCACAGAGAAAGAGGGGATGATTAAAAGGAGAAGAATAAAGAAAATGTTAGATGAAAACATTTCATGATAAAATACAATTCTAAAAATAACTTGAGATTGCCTACATTTAACTTTATTTTATTGGGTATTTTATATTCACATAGTGTTTGAGACTGTTAAGTCAAGGTTATAACTCAATATAAAGGAATGTATGGATGAATTTTTTGGAAAAGTTTCCAAGGGCTTTAGTATACATATATTTGCTACTTGAGTACTTTCCTGTGTTCAGAAATGTAAAATGCTTTAAAAAAATAAGTATATGTTGGGTTAAATAATGTGACTTTGTAAACAGGAATATTGCCTTGTGTGTAATTACACTAGCAAAACTTCCAGTTAAGTCAAAATAATATTCCCAGTTATTAGGAGCTTCTTTCTGTGATATTATTTAGTTATGCTAAAGAATCTTGATAACTATGTCATGCTGTTCCTACAAATATTTCCAAGGTAGGAAACTATGCAGTGAGAGAAGGAAGCTATTTGGTAGAAGAAGGATATATTTTTTGAAATGTTTCAAGGTTGGTTTATAGGGTTTATTTATTAAAGTGTAAAGGTTATTTAGATATGTCTCTTTATGTTGGATTTTTATCAACAGAATATTTATTTAATATCATATAATTTTAAGTAGTCCAGAGTAATCAACGTTAATGTTATTTTTTATTTCTTGTTTATATTTATAAAAGGCCAAAGTAATAATGGAACATATGATTTTTTTCATGGCACAATTAATGTGTACCACTTTTCCTATTTTTTGTTTATTTAACATTTGTGGAATTTCTTAAAATTGCTATTTTATGTGTAACTGTTTTGGTAGTTCTCTAGTAATACATAGTTTGTCTATATTTGCATGTTTATATGCTATATTCTATAAGTTTTTGTGCTCATATTCCTGTGCCTACTAATGAATTTTGTCCAGGAAAATAATAATTGTGTTTGAATAGTCTATAAATGACCCTCAAAATGATAGAGTGAAAAGAAGCTAAAAATTCTAGACTATGTTTGAACCAACCAAATGCACTTTAATAGGCCTATCCTTATCCAGATTATATCTGGGCATAATTTTACCCACAGGATGTTTTTAAAGACTTTTAAAAAGGCTGAATAATGCTTATTAGTGTCTATAGATTTGCAGAGAATTTGCTTACTTATTTTATTTTTATGCTTTATAAGGTAGTTCTAAGTAATTTATTAATTGAAGAGATTCTGGTTCCTCCTTGTGTCTCTTCTTTCTGATCACTTTAATAATCCTTTTAATTTGATAAATGCTCTAAAAAAAATGACACTAGTGAAGTGTGGACAGAAATGAGAGTCTGCTCTCTGTTCTTAGAAGACAGCACACTGATTTCCCTGGAGTGAATATTGCTGAACCCAGCAGCACTTCCAGTGTCCCCCAACCCCTAACCTGGACTTAGTACTGAAGTGGTAAAAATATTCACATTTAAGAAAGCAAGAGCAAAATCTAACAAAACGGTATGCAAATTTAGTACCTACAGAGAAATAGCCACTTCTCATTTTTGTCTCCCATTCTATCTTCTGTCTTTCCTAGGTCACTGTCACATTCTTTCTCAGGTTATAGTAATTCATACTTTATCTTCTCTATTTTACAACCTTAATTTTCTGAAATTCAGTTTCTTAGCTCAGCACCTTAAAAATAATAGTACAGAATGTATATTAGTTTAGTTAGTGCCATTTAAAGAACTTTTTAAAAAAAGTTTTCATCAAAATGGACCTAAAGCTAAAAAGTCCTTTGGGACATTATTTCTGATACCATAAAATCTACAAAGTTCCTTTCTAGATGCAAACCCATCGATTCTATTCAATGATAATAATAAAGGCTCTTTTATACCCAGATGGCTATCTCAAATCTTGTTATCAGCCCTCCAACTTAGTTGTAGGAGGGTTTCATCAGTCATGGTTATATTGCTCTGGGTGGCTGATAACCATTGTGCTATTATTAGTTGGGTGATGAGCTGGTCACCCTGTAAGTTTCTTTAAGTTGTTCTATCAGCCCTCCAAAAGTAAGTGCAAATAAACGGGTTCCAAACCCCTTTAGAGCACACTGTAAATCTTTGTAACTTCATGGCCAAATGGTAAACCGCAGGACCACATGACTCAATTCCCTTGAGACAGTCATGTTATTCCTGTCAGACTTTTCTTCCCTCATTCATCAGCTGGAAGCTTTCATCTCCTTTTAAAGTCATGGCCTTTCAAGTAGGGGTGAAATTACACCTGTCAGTAATAAATGTTCTCAGTGCTCTCCATCATTCTGTCTTTTCACAAAAGATATTAAAAGGAAGCATAGCTTATTCCACATTTTAACACCATGTTTTTTTCTTTCTCCACTTTTAGATACCTTCCTGTTATGTAATTGTTGAGCAAAGTTTTAAAATATTCACTAAATCAGGGGACATGTGGGAATGCTGGGCAAATTAGCTTCCATGTGAACTATACATTATATTCAATAACTACATTAAACTTATTTGACAGAATGATTTAACTGTATACACAATCTACAACGGCAATCTAAATGTGCCCTTTAGCACACTTGTTCTGTTTATTTTTTCTAAGTTACACTCTGATAACTTTGTGGTTGCCCATAATACCATACAGCAGGTGCACCTGTGTAGCCACCATTTTATTTACATAGAGAACAAAGTTAATGTTTTATCAAATCCAGACCACACCTGCATTGGGACACTTGTAGGAAGCAGGGTTCAAATCAAAATTGCAATTTGCTTTTAGCCTGATATTTGAACTCCACTGAGCAAACTCTTTTGAGTTCTCTTGGACGTTTTGAGGATTCGGCTCTTAACTCCCTGTTAACTGAAGGATGAAATGGGAGCTGGAAGACTGAATATGTTACCTGAAAACCCTGTCACTCACTATTGTAGGTCTTGACTCAAGAATAACTGAATTGTGTCATTACAGCCTACACCATACACTGTCCCAAGCAGAGAATTCTTCAAGTACAAGTGTATTTGGCTTGATATACCTGATTATGAGGGCAAATATTTTTGTAAATTTTCTAATGCTGAACCAGATTAATGAATAAATGCTGTGTGAAATTCACAAATCGTCGATGATGGTCATGCTCTAAAGCTTTGTTGTTTTGTTTTATTTTATCCCTTATAGGGACAGTATGTGCCATTTTTTTTTTGTAGATTAGTGATACTGCAAAGAATCCATACAAACACATAACCTCCCACAATTATTAGCAAACCATCGTGTTTTATTTTTTCCAGAACACAAAGGAAGTATATAATTTCTCTATTTTTATACCCCATTTCTTACATTCTGTCTTTTCTTATCTCCTTCCTCTTCAGGAGAAAAATAAAATAGTAAACTGAAAAACAGACCCTAAAACTCAGTGAGAGGGATAGATTGCCTCAATTTGTCACTAAACTAAAAAAAATTATCTCAAAGCACAATGCTGATTTAATTTCTCTGGAAATGATTACACATTTATCATTAGAGTTTTTTTCTATCAAATGGGTTCTGACATATTATTAGAGTTTGAGACAAAATCTGTAGTATCTATTTCAAGCCTAATCAACTATTAACATCATTTGCAGAAACATCCCATCCATATATAGGGCTGAAAATGAATTACTATTATTTAACATTATGTTTTGTGAAATCTCTGTAACTGTATAAAATGATTTGAGAAGGTGAATTGTCCCTATTTGTTTACCCAAACTATCCTTTTATTAAATAATTTTCTGTGGTTTAATTTAAACTATTTCAATAATACTCACACCTTAAATAGAGATTGAACTTAACACCCTCAACTCTGAATTAAGTACATAGTTTGAAATTAATTAAGTAGCTCAGAATGCCTTTGAACTCTGAATTAGGTACATAGTTTTAAATTAATTAAGTAGTTCAAACCCTAATATTGTGGCCTTGGGCACTCACTTTCATTTAGCACGTGGTTCTTAACAAGTTTGATTGTCTGTTTTAGTCACCTTCTAAAGATAAAAAACATTAAGCTGAAAGAACCAAGTATAGCAGTGAGAATTGCAAGACTAACAGCCTAGGACAGAAAGGAAAAGTAATGATGAAGTGCTGGACATGTTATGAGGCTCTTTCATATGCATTTACACATTTGATTCCCCATAATCCTACATGAGATATGCAACTTATTTCACAAATAAGTAAGCAAGGCATGGGGAGCTATGCAATTTCCCCAAGGCTAGTAAGTGGCAGATTTGAGATATTAACTCAAGATATTTTATCTTAACTCAGTGGTAAATGTCATAAGTCACCTATACCAGTTTAAATATTTTCTAGTATATTTGGTTTGTGCAGGAAGTAGAAAATTCATTTTAGAAAGAGTCCATAGAAATGCTAAAATATACAGAGCTTTGACACCTGAAGTTTTTGGTGTCACATCTTTTGTGGAACCTCTCATTTTCTAAGGATAATTAATACATTATTTTACTGAATGATTTAACTCTAAAACTGATGTAGTACGTATGTTAATTCAAATAGATTTAAATCATTCAACTCAATTTATTATAAACAAAAATTACTTTATTTCTTTCATTATCTCTTCAGATCTAGGTTACATGCATAATGTCAATTAAGACAAATAGAAACACTTTTTCCTCCCTGAACCTATCTCCTTCACCAAAATTTCAGCTGACTTTTATGTTTTATTGCTATGCATGCATACCACATAGCAGTGTTCTACAAAATGCAGTCCATCTGTCACTTGCATCAGAATCACCTATGTTGATTTTGTAGAAAGCTGACCAGTGAATTAGGTCATCTGGTATTCAGGCTTAGGCTCATTAAAGTTTGAAACCCACTGCCTTTCAGTTTAACATCATTTCCCTGTGCACTTTAAGATGGTCCTGCTCTACAACTGACTGTATTTCACAATTCATTTGTACTTGCAAAGACTAATGCTTGACCAAAACACTGTTAGCTGAGACAAAAATGATGGAGAAAACATACATCTCTCTTCAGTTTATAACTCTGATAACTCTTCGCTATTCCTTATACCTTTGCTACAGAAAGGCAGGCAGGCACATGTTTGATTCATTTTCTCCAGTTTATTTAATGTATTATTATTGTTTTCCAATTAGTATAAAGTTGGGTTTTGTTATTTGGAACTGTAGTTTGTGAGCACCTGCTTTGTCTGTTAAGGACACTTCCAGTTTTGTATTCCCCTTTTCATTTCTGTATACATAACAAGTCACCTATTTTCAAGTGATATTTACTCCAACAGAATGTTGTCAGTTTGCACTGAAATAATGCTATTTTTTTCTATCCTAATGGAAACAGTTTTGATTAAAATTAACGGCTACTTAGAATATTTTAAGTCTTCAAGGAGTGATTCAAAACAAATAGAAAATATGTTCCTGAAAGTGTCCTAAGAGGTGAATTTGTGTGACTAATAATGACCTTGATCCCCATAGCTGTATATTTAATGGAGATGACAAACAGTCCATACTAGTGGTGAGGCACTAACTTTAAACTAAGGCACTTCTATTGAAAAGGAGCTCTTGATCTAATAGGCATCACAAATACTGTCGTTAGAGAAGATGGCTCGGATTTGATTTGCAAGGCGGGAAAGCACCAAGAGCAGGCACTCTGCGGGGGCAGCATGTGCGGCGGGTGTAGTCAGAGGCCTGCCTGCCTCCTAAAAGGTTGGGAGCAAAGTTAATGTAGTTTGGTTGACAGAGAAATTAGAAGACTTGGGACAATGCTTTTTCATTCCTTTCCCTCTTTTGTTTCTTAAGTTGACAGATTAAGTACTAACAATTGCTTGCAATATGGCTCTTTCTGAATGTGGTTACAAGTCTTGAATTTCAATGAATTAATCTCATTTATTAAACATTTTGTAAAAACAATGCTTACACATGTTGTTTAAATGTTGTTTGAAGTTGAAATGTTTTGAAATGGTATCTGAACAGCAGAGAAAAACACAATTTTAATGTCAACATACAAGAGACACCTTTGGTTGCATTTACACCAAAACATTGTAAATTATTATATTTAATTATAGCTCCTGGTTTCCCATTTTTTCACAGATACACTTAAATGTTTATCAGCTAATTATATGTTAAATACCATGTGATATTATGGATTTCCTCAGTGGTAACATGTCTTAAAACTTCATTCATATTTTAATGATGTATTTTATTTGAAAATTTCTATATTTTATTACATTAACTCTTTATGGCCCTCTATGCAGCCACTAACTTTTGACTAATATTGAGAACTACAGCTGCTAATATTTACTAGTCTGAGCAAATTAGTTTAGTAGACTTTAGGAACTCTGATTTGAGCTTAGGGAACTGCAAACAATCAGAGTGCAGAATTTAGAAATCGCCGGCTATCTACTGGTCAAATATTGTTCATTGGCTAGGTAAACAGTGATATGGAAGTTAACTTGTACAAGTGCAAAGTAAATAACAATGTATTTACTTTTTCTAATATTTGTGTCTATGTATAAGAAATGGGTTGTTGGAAGTCATACTTATTTACAAAGTAAAGCTTTAAAAATATTTTAATACTTTATTGTAGTGTATCTACTTTGGATTAGAAAGCTTACATCATCGATTCACTCTAAGGTAGGCTTGCAGGCATCTTTCTTTCTTTTTTTTTTTCAGAAGCAAGGTCTTGCTTTGTCACCCAGGCTGGAGTTCAGTGGCATGATCATAGCTCACTGCAGCCTCAAACTCCTCCTGGGTTCAAGTGATCCTCCTTTACTCAGCCTTCCAAGTAGCTGGGATCCCAGGTGTGAACCACCATGCCCTGCTTAGGCATACATCTTGATACTTTTAGCAAGATAGTTAAGAAGTAATTTATAAATTACTTCTAAATAGGATCCTTCCCTATTTCATTCAGCAACCTCTGCAAGCCCTTTCAGAGAAATTGAGGCACTTCTATTAAAAGTAACCACATTATTGATTGTGGCCCAAGAGTGAAATGGGCTTCTGGCCCTCAATACCTCCTTCAAAGTATTATACCTTGCAGGGGCAGTCACTCTCACCTCCGTTCATTCCTTCAGCTTTTAGGAATAGGTAATTGACCCTACTTTCCTATATTAATACTCAGTTACTAACTCACTCTAAGAAAACAGAACTCTCTCCTCTCAACTGGTCAATATAACCTCAGATGTCTGAGCATTAACTTCACCTAAAAATTTAACAAATATTACATTTAATTGTATCACAGGCTGTTTCCATGTAAGTTTTTGCTTCTGTCTTCCCAACTCAACTGTAAAGTTTCACCTGTGTATCTATGGTGCCTAGGACTGGAAGCAGGCCCATGTGACTCTTCCTTGTGATCCCAGGCCTTCTGTTTGCTCCAAAATATGCAAAATAGATAATTTTTGAAGCTGAACTTATTGGCTGTGTATGCTAATACTTCATATAAAAGACTTCAAAAGAACTATAAAGTTTTGTATATACATATAAACTTTTATATACACGCGTGTACTTTTATATGTGTAATTTTTATACATATAAGTATATATTATGTATTATAAATATGCATATATACATAAATAATACCCCCAAACTGAAAGGGCTGTAGAGATCATCTAGTCCCAACTTTATTTTACAGATGAAAAAAAACAAACTGAGTGAGGAAAAGTGACTTTCCCAAGTTCCCAATGCAAGTTAGTAGCTAAGTTGGGGCAGCCAGGACTCCTGACACTCAGACAATGCTCGTCTCACTTCATTACGTGCTTTCCTGGGGGGCCCTAAGCATGTATATTTAGATTAACCCTCATTATACTTCTCGGAGCTGTATGATGTACTGATGGTCCCAACATACTAGCCAGATAAAAGATGCAAATATTTTCTTGAACAAGTATACACAATCCTAATGAGAAATGAGCAGAAAATAGAACATCTATATAGGGGTATAATTAGACATGCATATGTACACATACATATGTACATTTTATACATAATATATTTATTTTAAGAATTCTAAATATTGAATGTTTAATAAATTAACAATGTTAGCAAAGATGCTGAGATGAATTGCTAATGGAAGAATACCTCAACATAACATTTTTGAGAAGTTATCTATCTCTATACAACTAAAATGAATATAACTATAGATCCAGCAATTCCAACTCTTAAAACTATCTACGGAAATAGGATTTTAAAGATATATGAATGAGAGTACTAGACCACTATTTATAGTGTGAAAAAAGAAAAAGAAAATGAAGAAAAGACAGGTGGTTCATCATTAAAGGAATGGTAATTTAAAAAAGTAATGAAATTGTGAATATTAGATAGGCCCTTGGAGATGTAACAGGAGATTAGTTCTGAATGGGAAAATTTGGGAGTGTTTCTATTTTAGTGGCCATGTTGTTGCTAAGAAACATGTCATATTTACCTGGAGTTGCTCAAAATTGTGTTAGATGTTATCATTAATTGAAAAAGAGCCTGGCTTACCTTGAGCTTGACCACCAGCCCCAGCTTCCTGACTGTGAGATGCCCCTATACCCTGCCATCAACTTAGCTTTTTGTTCTTTGCAGAGCAAGAGAATGAATGACTTGCTATGAACTCACCAAATGATCAGTCTGGTTCATGGTACAACCTTGTCCACTTCCCTAGGATCATTTCAGATGGATCAAGAGGTCTGTAGTCTAGAGGGGAATGTTCTTCTCAAATCCTATTATTAACACTTCACAATAGAAAAAAAATTACTTCAAATTACTTCCATTAAGGGTGGCAGACATAAATTCCCACTTAATGTTAAAAGGCATTCCTACATAAAAGTGCCCATCATAATGATAACCAAAACTATGGAAATGAATCCATTTAATAGGGAAGGGCATAGATGAAAGAACTAAGGGATAACCAATGTGCCTTAAAGCATATTGAAACTAGAGGGTAAGCATTTTGATATGTTTTTTCTTGTGTGGTCAAAACATTAACAGAGGAAGGAGCCATTTGAAATTGTCTCACTGCATTTCCTGGCCCACCTGAGTAATTACAATTTAAAGATCTGCCCAAAGGAATTAAAAATACGTAGGGTCATGTTTTCTTACTTTCAGAATGGAATATATAGTCATTAACTTAAATTAAGAAGGAAAAGAAACTAACCATCAAAATTGGAGGAATAAAAGAAAAATTTGTGATGTATGGTCATTTGCATACCGCATAGGTTGTCCTATGCATGTTGCAAAGAGGAAAGATCGGGATGAAGGGGTAATAATGAAACCCTGATAGCATATGAAGTATCTCATGGTCATGGTTGAAAGTCAAGTCTGGAAGGAATAAACTTTACTCTTTCAGGTGTTCAAAGAAAAAAATTAAAGGTAGAGCAAAGCATACTTCTTAGAATTAAGAGGTAAGAGATACAGTATAAAGGCAAACTGTTTTATAGAAAAAAAGTTGTTATCTACAATGTGTAAAAATTTTCTCTCATGAGCATGTGAGTAAGGAGAGTAAACAGTTTTTCTCAAACAATGAATACTACTGAAGGACAACCAGCCAAGTATGTACTTTGATAATAATGCAATATACTCCTTTCAAGTTTATCAGGTATTCTTATAATCAAAAGTGTGTCATAGATCCAAAATTTTGGTGATCTCTACTGTATTAGGAAAAAAATGAAGGGATATATAGAAATAATTTAGAGGTAAAGTAATATGAAGTAAACATCAATGGATTCTTAGAAGACAACATGGAAACATACGTAAAAATCATATAAAAGTTATGTAAAAGTAGTTGAGGCAGAGGGGAGTTCTCTCTGAAGGATCTTGCAGCCTAATTAGCCACATGAACTCCAATTATTTCCATGACTTTTATTGCTACTAAACTAAAAGATACATTACATTAATTCCTTCCCAGTCCAATTGAGGATAAGTTGGCTAATAACAAGTGGATTTTTACTTAGTGTAATAAGGGTAAGTATAATATAATAATATCATAAATAAAATAAACTACTAATCGTGGGAGCTGAAAAGAAATGCTTTCCAATAATAGAAATAAAATAAAAACTTTGTTTAAAGTACATATGAAAACCGTGCTAAAATTATTCATTAAAAAATAGAGGAGTATGACACCTGTATGTGTAATATTTATTACTTAAGGGATCTTTGGCTTTCCATTACTTTTTGAAGTCATTCAGAAATTAGAGACAATTTTAAGCAGTTGAATATTTTATTTTGTTAGATGGTAATTATTCTGTCTGAACATGTGAAAATGCAAACAAAATATAAAAATAATTACTTCTCACAGCATTAAAACACAGCTAGAAACAGTTTACTCCCAAAGTAAGCATTCAGGAAAGATTACCACTTTTAAATTCAAACTTTATTCTGATTTATTTGGAATGTCATGTATCAAAACTATTTGAACCAAAATGCCACAAGGTGGCAGTGGCCTGTCCAAGGTGCAGTCATAGAGCACTGAAGGACCTTCTCTTCAGCGTTGACATTCTATTTCCTTCTTATGCTTTTTTAAATAATTAATCTTTCTGATTGTGCCACATGAAATTTTCTGAATATACTTAGTGTTGAAGAACTTTAGTGACCCATTTCCACAACCTTTATTATTCTCTTCACTACTGAAAGAAGAAACCAATAAGAGCAGAAAACATAAATTTATTATATGTTGTGTTCAGCCACCTAACTAGATGGCTTACATATTATATATCTAGAATATAGTTAAATATTCTTTAGATATTCAATACTGTTGAAGGGCTGAATACAGAATACAGTGTTTGCTGTCATCTCCAAACACAGTGCAGTCAATGACTAGGTATTTACTAAGCAGTTACAACTCTCTTGTGATTTCCAGGCACCTATACTGGCTGTGACAGCTTATTTCATTTACCTGTTTAAAATATGCTTTCACACATATATTTTATTAATAGACATATAATATATTGTGTCTAATAAAGTGATCATGTATTATCTCTTAATTATAATGAGATAAACTGGGATTGAGAGAATTTGTCACAGTGGATTTTGACTGTTTATTTTCCCCTGTGAAAATGATGAAATAATCTTCAAAATTATCATTTTCCAATTTCTATAGAAACATATTGTTATATTAATGAAAAATACCATCAATAATCATAAGCATTGAGAGACTAAAATGATGTAGAATTGTGGAAACAATTTTTAAATATATGATATAAAGCACAAGGCATTATTTTGTCTTTGTTCTTGTTCTTAGACTGAATGCTAAATATTTTCATGAGTTAAATGTATGGAAAGTGATGTGAAAATAATCCATCCATCAGCACACACTTGATTCAATACCTGCATGCAGAGCACAGTGGTCAAGTCTGTGCAGTGGATTTATAGACACAACAATCTTCAGGGTTTCAGGGTTGCATGTATGTCACTACCCTTGCTTGTTGGTATATTAAGAGAAGTAATACCATTATACCATGTATAACTTTTTATGGGTAGCAAATCAGTGAGTGAATCACTCCAGAGAAGAATGAAAAGAGCAATTTGCTGACAAGGGAATGACCATGGAGTTGCCAGACATGGCATAGTGATGAAGAAGTTGTTGCTCTACTTTTAGGGATAGCAGACATGTTCATATAACAGTTTTGAAAAGAATTTAACACATCTTATATTTATATTTTGGATTTTCTGTTTGCTTTACAATTGGGTGAACTTAAACTATGTTTCAGTTGCTTTAGGATGATGGCTTGATTCCTGATGCCATACTGATAAATCCAGATCAGTCTCTGTATTCTTTTCATCATTCTCATCCCTTGATTTAATTAGTTCTTTGAAGCCATCTTCAATCAACTTTACATTACTGACTATCTCTCCTGCCTCTTTTGTCTGCTTAAATTTGTTCCCTACAGAAAGTCAACAGAACACTGGCTTTTGAGTAAAGCAGATCTGGGTTCAAATTCTGGCATCTCTGTCTGGCCATGACATTTTTGGCAATTTAACCTCTATAAGACTGTTGTATACAATGAGAGAAATAATGTGTGCCTTTTGAAGTTGGTTTATGATGAAAACTAAATAACATAAGTATATAGAGTGTCTCACAGACAGTGATTATCAAAACAATTGAAGCTGTTATTTCTGTGGTTGCTACTTCCAAGTTCCGCACTTACCTAACAGCCTATCTTTTTTTTTATCATTAACCAAGTAACCTTTATTAAAGCACTGACACCCTATCATTAATAGATTCCCAGTGGATATTTTCAGTAGAATGCTTCCTTCCTTTAACTATTGCCTTAAATATTTAGTATATAACAAAAAATAGAATTTTGGGGGGATTCAGTTATAGGCAAGGGGCTACATTCAACTTTAAGATGATTTGAATGTTGGCACCTGAAGATAACTTCTTTCCTTTTCCCAATGGGTAGGCTTGGACTGCTGAACATGTCAAGTAGTTCTATTAGGATAGTTTATGAATGATTAAGTATCAGATTTAAAGAAATTGTTTTTGGATAAACCAAGTAAAACTCTCTACCAATAGTTACAGACAAAGTTATTGTCTCCCTCAAATATTTTCATACCTAAAATAAATATTTTGTTATTTTTCACTCTTTTTCATATGACAGTTTCTAATCTCTCATCCCATTCTTTGCACACTCTTCTGACACAATATCATTTGTTGATTTAATAAATGAATTCTTACAGCTAGTTTGGAAGAGGGATATTGTACTGGATTTGAAGCTGGATTATCACAAATATGGAGTGAGTATTTCTGTATGCCAAGCACTATTCCAGATATTGAAAATCCTGGGATAAATGAGACAAAGACTCTAGAAGGTCTTATAGTTATATTAATTATTTGTTTATAAAAATAATTATAAAAGTAATATGATATAGTAAATGCTTCAACAAGTAATTATTACAGCATGATTAAATGCTTCAAATGAGCTGTGAGTCAAATGCTGTGGCATTCAGAAAGAAAGATATTTGTCCTGGGTCTTAAAAGCAGTAAGAATTTTCCAGGTCTTAAAAGAAATAAGAATTTGTGGGATGGTGGGGTGAGGACTGCTAAGGGGAGCATATGGAGGAGAAAACAAACTATTGTGGGTAGAGGAGCCAGTTAGAAGAAAAACCAGTAGTGATAGAGTGATGCATTGTGTTGGGAAAGTTTTGGCTGACAGAGAAGGCACTTAAGTGTCAGTTAAACAAGTTGAGATTATAGTTGGGGTCAGATCATACAGACTGTCAATCCCAAACATAGGAAGTCAGGCTCTGTCCTATAAGCACAGGGAAATATTGGACTCTTTAATGCAAAAATAAGCCATTATTTTATTTTTGAATAATAATTTTTCTGATCATGAGAGAGGAAAAACATAATAGGAGACTAATTGGGAGAGCTTGCAATAGTCCAGGTAAGAGGATGTGAGATGAATGAAGTGAAGGGCGATTGCACTGAACATAAATGCAACAGTCTAGAGTTGATCTGACCAATGCAGAGACATTTTATTTTATTGGTTAAATCAACACAGAGTGATTTTAACAGCACTATAACACTACTATCTGGACTGGGTCATCCCCAGCTGAGTTAGATCCACAGAATATTGATTAGCATTCTGTTTCAAAACTCAGTACATTCTGGTGAAATATTGTTTTCTTCATTTTGTTGATTTGCCTATTTCTATAGGCATCTTTTCTAAAACCATCTTGTTTCATAATATAATAACTTGACTGGCCTTTATAATTTTTTATTGTCAATATGTTTCTAATAATAACTTTGCATTTCTCACTCAGATAGCAAAATGGGTTTATATTTAAAGTACCATGTCTACATCAAATAATATCAGTGAAAGATTAAAAAATTAAGAAAACCTATAAGATTTATCTGGGCTCAAAAGCAAGATCAATATTTTATAGGCCAGAAATGCCAGGTTGTGAGTGGGTCTACAGCTGCAGTCCACTAGGAAGCAACTGCTGACTCACATCATCTAAAAAAACTCCATGCAATACTTGAAACTAGAGATAATGGGCTTACTGCTTTATGTCTGGGATGAGAATGACTCTCGCTCAATCAATTTTCTCTCAAGAAAGGAGGTTAGCATTATATTTGTAACTATGAGCTTGGGGCTATGGCTTTGTAGGACACTGTAGACCAAAGTAAGTGAGAGGATCAACATGTCACTTTTTTTAAAAAAGTGGAAATTAAGTTAGTTTCTAAGTTGCCCACTGGGTTAGTGACTGACCGATCTCATCAGGAAGGGAATATTTTATGCTTCTGTTCTACACTCAATTTATTAGTAGGGTAAGTAGAAACAACTCAACAAGAAATAAGGAAGGCTAATATTGGCAGGAGAGAGAAAGGAGGGGAAAGGGGTATTCCTTTCACTCAAATGAGTTTGCAAATCAAGATTCTAAAGTATGTAAGTAAACTAATCGATGTTAAGAAAGACAACTATACCAGGCAAAATGCACAAGAATATGTCCAAGATAAAATTAATATTAGGGAATAGTCTAATATTAATACTCATGGCAACAAACAAAAATTATGAAACAAAAAGGCAGAAATGAAACAAAAATAATTAGACATGTATAGAACCAAACGAAGAGATGGGTGGAACACGATGGCAAAGTAGAACTCTTTGGCAGTCATCACCCCACAGGAATATTGATTTTGACAACTATCCATACACAAAAATATTCTTGCAAGAGCTAAGGAAACAAGATAAAGCTTTCACAGTATCTGGCTGTAGCACAATGCTAAGAAAAGAGATATTGATAAGCTGGAAAGGACAGTTTTGCATTACCCCTGTCATTCCTCCACCAAACCCGGGCAACACAATGCATCTAGAGACACCATTTCCTCAGGGAAAAGAGAAGAAAGTGAGCATATAATTTGCCTTGGACCCCAATACTGACACCAACACAGTGTAACCCAGCATAAGGCAGACCCCCACAGCCCCATACTCTAGATTAGAATCTGCAGACAGAGTCTCTAGAATCATCCTAGTGCAAGACAGGACCACACAGCCCCACGTCTCAGGCTTGTGTGGAAGACTTGATTTCTGGTAGCTCTAGACATCCCTTGTGGCAGGCAGTTCTCAGTGTACGCCAGGCTTCAGGCAGCAACCCAGTGCCATGCCAGCAGCAACTGCACTGAACATAACCCAATGCTGTGCCTATTGCATATTTTCTCAGAAAAATGCCAGTCTGCTAAGGCTGGAATAAGTACCTAGTTCTTCAAATATGCAGATGTTGATGCATGACTACAAATATCAAGAACAATCAGGACAACATGACATCATCAAAAGGACAAAATAAGGGTGCCATTGACTGTTCCTAAAAATAGAGATATATGATATATATGACAAAATAACTGTTTTAAGGAAGCTCAGCAAACTTCAACAAAAATACAAAGAAACAAATCAACAAAATGAAGAAAACAGTATTTGACCAGAATGATAATAATAGAGAGACTGAAAAAAATAAGTAAAAAGCAAACAAATCCTGGAGCTTAAAAATACAAGGAATAAAATGAAAAATTCAATAGATGGCATCAACAGCAGAAATGATCAAGAAGAAAGGATCTGTGAAACTGAAGGGGGATTATTTAAAAATATACAGAGGAGAAAAAAAGAAATATAAATAAATAAATAAGCTTATGAGATTTATGGGGCAGCAACAAAAGAGCAAAACATTTGAGTCAGGGAATACAATTAAAAAAAGATAAAGGGGTAAGAAACCTTTTTAGAGAAATGCTAGCAGAACAATTTTCAAATCTGGAGAAAGACATCAATTTCCAGGTACAACAAGGTCAAATATCTCTGATCAGATTCAATGCAAATAAGACTATTTTAAAAATATTATGACCAAACTGTCAAAAATCAATGAGGAGAGGATTTTTAAAAAAACAGCAAGAGAAAAGAAGAAAATTATGTATAAAAATGTTTTAATATGGCTAACAGAAGACTCCTCAGCAGAAACTCTATAGTCCAGGAGAGAAGAGGTTGATAAATTTAAAGTGCTGAGAACAACAAATACTGTCAATCAAGAATACTGTGCTCAGCAAAACTATTCTTCAGAAATGAAGGAGGAATAAAGACTTTCCCAAATAAACAAAAGCTGAGGGAGTTCATCACCACCAGACTTGTCTTACAAGAAATGCTAAAGGGAGCTCTTCAAGGTGAAAGAAAAAAACACTAATAAGTCACGTGAAAACACCTGAAAGTATAAAACTCACTGGTAAAAGTAAATACATGGTTCAATTCAAAACACTCTGATACTGAAATGGTGGTGTGTAAATCACTTAAATCTGTATTATAAAGGTTAAGACAAAACTATTAAAAATAACCAAAATAACTTATTGAGGGATTTGCAATATTAAAAGATGTAAATTGTGGCATAAAAAATTCAAAATGTGGTTTGGGGAGTGGAGTAAAAGTAGATGGTGTGTCTGTGTGTGTATGTGTGTGTATGTTATCAAAGTTAAGTTGTTTTCAGCTTAAAACATGTTATATTTTTTGTAGGTCATATGGAAACCACAAAGCAAAACCTATCATAGGTATGTGAAAATAAAAAGCAAGCAATCAAAACAACACTGAAGAAAATCACTTAGCTATAAAAGAAGACAGAAAAAGAGAAAGAGACAGAAGATCTATGAAAAAACTAGAAAACAGTTAACAAGATGGCAGTAGTAAATCCTTACCTGTCAATAATTACTTTGAATGTAAATGGATTATGTTCTCCCATCAAAAGGTGTAAGATAGCTGAATGAATTTAAAAAACAAAAAAACAAGATCCAAATATATGCCACCTACAAGAGACTGACTTCACTTGTAAGGACACACATAGACTTAAAGTGAAGGGCTGGAGAAAAATACTGCATGTAAATGGTAGCCAAACACAAACTGGAGTGGCCATTCTTATATCAGATTATATAGACTTTAAGTAAAACTGTAAAAAGAAAAAGTAACATAATTGTATCATTATAAATGGGTCAATTCAGCAAGAGGATATAACAATTACAAATATATACGTACCCAATATCCAAGCTGATGAAGATATAAAGTAAATATAAATAAATTTGAAGGGAGCAATAGATTGCCATATAATAAATTTAGGGGAGTTAAACACCCCACTTCTGGAAATGGGCAGATCATTCACACAGAAAATCAATAAGGAAACAGTAAACTAAAAGCATAATCTAGATCAAGTGGACATAACAAATATATGCCCAACATTTCACCCCAAAGCTGCAGAATATATATTATTTTATTTGCAACTCCACATGGAACATTCTCTAGGATAGATTATATGTTAGGCCACAAAGCAAGTCTTAACAAATTTATGAAGGTTGAAATCATATCAAGTAGCTATTCTGACCTCAATTAATTAGAATTAACATAAATTAATTAGAGGAGACACTTTGGAAAATTTGGCAAATGGAAATGCTCTTGAACAACTAATAGGTCAATGAAGAAATTGGAAAGAAAATTTAAAAATTTCTTAAGACAAATGAAAATTGAATCACAACATACCCAAACTTACCAGATACAGCAAAAGCAGTTCTAAGAAGGAAGCATGTAGCTGTAAACAGTGACATTACAAAAGGTAAAAGATCTCAAATAAACAACCTAACATTGTACTTCAAGGAACTGCAAAAAACAGGAATAAACTAAGCCCAAAGTTAGTAAAAGGAAGGAAATAATAAAAATCAGGACAGAAATAAAATAATAGAGCCTGGAAAAATAATAGAAAAATATATATTTTTGAAAAGATAAACAAAATAAAACTTTAGCTTCACTAACTGAGAATGAAATAGGAGTCAAATAAGTAAAATGAAGAACAGGAAAAGGAGATATTACAATTGACACAACAGAAATTCAAAGGGCCATAAGAGATTATTATGAACATTTATATACCAACCATTTCAGTAACCTAGAGAAACAGATAAATTATTTGATGCTTTTATTATGAAGACATAAAAAATCTTTACAGACCAATAACCAGTAAAAAGATTGAATCAGCAATAAAGTCTCCTATCAAAGAAGAGTCTGGGACATGGTGACATCACTGCTGAATTCTATCAAATATTTAAAGAAGAACTAATAAAAATTTTGCTTAACTCTTCCAAAAAATTGAGGAGATGAAACTTTCAAACTTATTTTATCAGGCCAGCATTACCTTGATACCAACAAACAAACAAACAAACAAACAAAAAACTACAAAAAACCCTACAGACCAATATCTCTGATTAATATAAATGCAAAAATCCTCAACAAAATATTAGCACACTGAATTCAATGGTACATTGAAAATATTATTCATCATGATCAAGTGGTATTCATTCCAGTGATGCAAGGATGGTCCTATATATGCAAATCGGTAAATGTAATACATTACATGAACAGAATGAAGGACAATAAGCATATAATCATTTCCGTAGGTGCAAAAAAATTTGGAAAAATTTGGCATCCTTTCATGATTAAAAAACTCTAAATAAATTAGGTATAGAAGGAATGTACTTCAACACAATTGAAGCTATATATGATAAACCCCATAGCTAACTCAATGGGGAGAAGTTGACAGCTTTTCCTCTAAGACACAGAGTAAGATAAGGATGTCCATGTTAACCACTTCCATTCAATATAGTATTGGATGTGCTAGCCAGAGCAATTAGGCAAAAGAAAGAAATAGAAGACATACAAATTGGAAAGGAAGAAATTAAATTGTCCCTGATTGCAGAAGGCATGACCCTATATACAGAAAATTCTAAAGACTTTACAAAAAGAAACCTGTGAGAATTATCTAGTAAATTGAGTAAAGTTGCAGGATACAAAATCAACATACAACACTCGGTAGTGTTTCTATTCACTAATAGCAAGCTATCTGAAAAAGAACAAGAGAACCATACCATTTACAATACTTACAAGAAATATTTAGGAATAAATTTAACCAAGGAGGTGAATGATCTCTACCCTAAAAGCCATAAAACAATGATGAAAGAAATTAAAGAAGACACACATAAATGGAAATATATTCTTTGTTCATAGATTGGAAGATTTAATATTGTTAACATGTCCATACTACCCAAAGCAAGCTACAGATTCAACAGAATTCCTATCAAAATACCAATAACATTTTTCACAGAAATAGAAAAAACAATTCTAAAATTCATATGGAATAACAAAAAATTCCTGAAAAGCCAAAGCATTTTGAACAAGAAGAAGAAAGCTAAAGACATTACACTACCTGACTTCAAAATATGTTACAAAGCTATAGTGACCAAAACAGCATGGTACTGGCATAAAAATAGACACACAGAGCAATTAAACAATAGAGAGCACAGAAATAAATCCATGCATTTACAGCTGGCTGATTTTTGACAGCGGTGTCAAGAGCACACAATAGGAAAAGGACAGCCCTTTCAATAAATGCTTTTGGGAAAACAGGATATTCACAGGCAGAAAAATAAAATTAGAATCTTATCTCACACCATATATAAAAATCAACTTAAAATGGATTAAAGACTTACATGTAAGACCCAAAACTATGAAACTACTAGAATAAAACTTAGGAGAAAAACTATGACATTTATCTGGGCAATGACTTTTTTGGAAATGACCCCAAAGCACAGGCAACAAAAGCAAAAATTGACAAATAAGATTGCATCAAACTCAAAAGCTTCTGTGCAGCAAAGAAAACAACCAACAGAGCAAAGAGACAACGTGCAGAATGGAAGAAAATGTTTGCAAACTGTATATCTGTTATGGGGTTAATTTCCAAAATACGTAAGAAATTCAAACAATTCAATAGCAAGAAGGCAAACTATTCAATAAAATTAGGAGCCATGAAACTGAACAGACATTTCTTAAGGCATACAAATGGTTAAAAAGTATGTGAAACAAAAGCTCAATATTACTAATCAGGGAAACATAAATTAAAAACACAATGAGATATTACCTTAGAGCAGCTAGAATGCGTATCTTCAAGATAAAAGATAAGTGTTGGCAAAATGTGCGGCAAAGGGAACCCTTGCACGCTGTTGGTGAGAATGTAAATTGATGCAGCCATTATGGAAAACAGTATGGATGTTCCTCAAAAAATTAAAAATAAAACTGCCATATAATCCAGCAATCCCACTACTGAATATGTATCTAAAGAAATGAAATCAGTATGTTGAAAAGATTCCTTTACTTTTGTGTTTATTGCAGAATTATTCACAAAAGCCAAGATATGGAATCAACCTAAGTTTCCATTACTGAATGAGTGGATTAAAAAATGTGGACACAATGGAATACTATTAAGCCATAAAAAAGAAGGAAATCCTGTCATTTGCAACAACATGTATTAACCTGGAGGACATTATGTTGAGTGAAATAGGCGGGGCACAGAAAGACAAATACCACCTGATCTTGCTCATATGTGGCATCTTAAAAAGTTAAACTCACAGAAGTAGAAAGTAGAATAGTGTTACCAGGGGCTGGGGTATTTGAGAGTCAGGGGGGAGAGATGTTGGTCAAAGAATATAAAATTTCAGTTAGATAAGAGAAATAAGTTCAAGAGCTCTATTGTACAACTTGGTGACTGTAGTTTATAATATATTGTATTCTTGAGAAATGCTGAGAGAGTAGATGTTAACTGTTCTCACTACAAAAATCAAAAATGATAGCTATATGAGGGAATACATATGCTAGTCAGTCTGTCTGTATATATATTTCAAATACTGTTCTCTACACAATAATATATGCACTTTTATCTGTCAATTTATAAAAAATTGGCCAAGTGCAGTGGCTCACACCTGTAACCCCAACACTTTGGGAGGCCGAGATGGGCGGATCACTTGAGGTCAGGAGTTCAAGACCAGCTTGGCGAACATAGTGAAACCTGGTGTCTACTAAAAATACAAAAATTAGCCAGGTATGATGGTGTGCACCTGTAGTCCCAGCTACTTGGAAGGCTGAGGCAGGAGAATCGCTGGAGCCAGGGAGACAGGGGTTGCAGTGAGTCATGATTATGCCATTGTGCTTTAGCCTGGAGACTCTGTATCTGGAAAAAAAAAAAAACAAAAAAAACAAAAAAAACCCAGAAAAATTTATTTAAAAATTGTAGAGAATAGAACCAACTGAAACTTTTCTGAATACAGCTATTTTCATTGAAATTTTTAAAATGTTTAGGTGGAATAAATTCTAGAATGAAAATAGTTTAAGAGAAAATTCGTGAACTGATCATAGGACTGAGAATTTTACCCAGAATGCAGCAAAGAAAGGCAAAGAGATAGGAATTTTGGAGAAAAAAAGAATCCTCCACGGGATAATGAGATTGAAAGGCTCCAACATACTTTGAACTGACCTTCCAGAAGAGAATGGAAGTAATGATACAAAAGCAGTATTTTTGTGTATACGTTTTTCTTTTCTTGTGGTAGGGAGTAGAAAAGCCGTACACAGTAAATTAACAGTAAAGTAAAATCATTCAAAAGTGAACCTCATCATTCTATATCTGTGAAAGTTGCATATGAATATTCTGATAACTTTTCTCTTATCAGAAAAGTCTTACCTTTAAAGATGTCTTAAAACGAAAATTCACATCATGCTTTAAATTTGTTCTCTACTAAACAATTTGGTGAACAGCATATATTTTAAAAGTTCTGGGTTATTAGAGTGATGACTACATTAATAATAGTGTTTTTTTAATAAATTATAAAATGTTGATTTTATGAAACATTATGTTTTTATAATATCGTAGAAAATACTGTAGTGGCAACTAATGCTAATTTTCTGTGAATATGGGAATCATTTCAAGGAAAGACAAAGATATAATGAAGTGTGCTGTATATATGTTTAATTATGCAGTACAAGGGATTAAAGTATTTTATTCATGAAATTAATGATCCACATATTATCGAGTAATATATTGACAATAGAAGCATAATATAAGTACTTAAATGAAATTATTTCATTAATAGCAGATTTTCCATGAAACAAATGCCAAGAATAGACAGACTTGTAAATTATTTTTTTCTTACACATACATACTTAAGAGTTACGTTAACATATTACTTCAGGACAAGATGTTTTAGAAATTAATTAGGATTTAAATGAAAATAGACCCTCACCAATTTCCACTAATGACAGGAAGATGCTATTTAGACTGTTAAAATATTAAAATTAGAAAGCATAAAAGAGGTACAATCAATTGCAGGGCTATGCATAAAATATAGTTGTTTCCTTTATTAGAGTAGTGTTGTTTAAATTAATTATAAAATAACATTATGTTCACATCAATTGGCCCAGCCTTTAGTATATTAAGCTGTCATAGTCACTAGTTGATTTTACAGTTATTATTTATGAAAGTTGCCATTATTCAGTATTTATAAAAGTTGCCAAGGTGGTAAATAAGTAACCTTTATCATTATTTTATAATTTATTTTTATAAGAAACATTTGTTGGTATAGCATTATATAATTCATGTCTTATTAGTTTATTTAAATATGTATTTGGCTGATAAATTGTATAAATTGTATGAGAGTCAGTGCAAATACTTTGAACAGATACCTACATAAACATCAAGTGCAAATTATAAAGTAAAGAGTAAGTCTAGAAATTGGTAAATATTCAAACTAAATATTAAAAGAAAAAATATATTTTGGGATTCCTGGTTGTTTGCATTTCTTCCTTTTTAATAATTTGGCATTAATCTAGCATTTTTTCTTTATGCTTCATGATAGATTATAATTTTAACAGCTCCAATATTTAAGGCTGTATCTTACATTTTGAAAAAGAGAAGGTACTTCATTTTGTCTCTTACAACATTCAACTACTGTCATAAATCCATTTGTATAAACATATTACTTTCAAGTTAGTCAATTTACTTCATTTTTCTTTCAAATACTTTTTCTTTTTAATCTATGTCATCATGTTTTGTGATTGCTTTAGCCACGTGAACAATAATAAAAGAATTTTGGAAAATCTGATTATTTTCTCTATAGTTTCATGTTGTAGTTCATTTTATAGGTTTAGGCTATCAGTCTGAATATTTGTGCCCCACCCCCCCCCAACCAAATTCATATGTTAACATTCTGACATCCAATGTGCTGGTATTAGGCAGTGAGGCATTTTGGGAGTTAAGTGGGTCATTCATGAGGCAGATCCCTCATGAACAAATTTGTGCCCTTATAAAAGAGGCCCCAGAGAGCTGCTTTGCCTCTCCCGACCCTGAAGAAGAAGAGCCTCTCTAGAACCTGACAATGCTGGCACCCTGATCTTAGATTTCTCAACCTCCAAAATTGTGAGAAGGAAATTTCTGTTGGTTATAAGTCACCTAGTTTATGGTATTTTTAATAGCAACCTAAATGGATTAGGGCAACATTTTTTTCAACATGACTTAACATTTTCTGATAAAAATAATTTTCTTGTATCAAAATTATTTTAAAAACAATTTGGTTTTCCTTTAATAAAGAACAAATATGCTTTAAGTTATTATTAAAAATTATAATTTCCCCTCTTCTTCATATCACTTAATTTGCTCATTCATTCAATAAATATACATTTATTCAGCATTTATTAAAAATAGTAATTTCCTTTTTTCTTCATATTAGTTAATTTGATCATTCATTCAATGAATCTACATTTATTCAGCATCTATTATATGCCAGGCAAGTGCTAGCTACAGGTAATAAAACTCTGGACAATATTAACAAGTCTCTTGCCATCATGGAAATTACTACTGAGTGGGAGAAGTGGACTGCAATACTATGATGGAAATGAAGATATTTAATAATGGCATGCAGAGGCAGATTAACTTACATATATATACATATGAGAAAACATACACTTGTTACTTGTACATATAATGAGAAGGGAAATCTTTGCATGATGAGGTGCCTATTTTCAAGCTTTTTTTTTTTTGCATGCATTCAACACTTAAACATCACAGAACTAAGAGAAAATGTATTGTCAAAGAAATACAAATTTAAATATTTTCCAGGAGAACATCAATGAAATTTTTTAACCCATTTATCTGATTTGTAAAAGAATGAAGTAAAGGAAAGACCTTGAAAATTAGCTTCTATAATATGAATAATGTATTCTTAAAAAGCACAATCTTATCATCCTGAAAATGCATAATATAATGAATGGGCAATATTATGTGATTTTTATTTGATAGCACAATTAAGACACAAAATCTCACTAAAAGAACATATATTAAACATGTTTATTTTCTTCTCTTTAAAATGCCTTTTAAAAATTAAATTTCTATCTTATCACCATAATTTCTTCTTACAAGTGAGAAACATATACATCATATAAATTAGTACCCTCCTCTTTTATTCTTAAAATGTGAAAGTGGGCCGGGTGTGGTGGCTCACGCCTGTAATCCCAACACTTTGGGAGGCCGAGGCGGGCGGATCACGAGGTCAGGAGTTTGAGACCAGCCTGGCAAGCATGGTGAAACCCCGTCTCTACTAAAAATACAAAATTAGCCGGGCATGGTGGCATGCTCCTGTAGTACTTGGGAGGCTGAGGCAGGAGAATCGCTTGAAGCTGGGAGGAGGAGGTTGGAGTGAGCCGAGTGTCACGAGTGGAGTGTCACGCCACTGCAATCCAGCCTGGGTGACAGAGTAAGGCTCTGTCTCAATAAATAAATAAATAATAAATAAAAGTGGAAATGGCTACTAAACTTTCTAAATTACAACTTAAAATCACCATGGCAATTTTATTAGACCTTATGTCTTGCTATAATTTGCCATCTTAAGAGACAATTTTCTAGAGGAAAGATGTAGCATAATTATACCATGGCTTTAGGGGTTTAGATATGGCAAAATACTGCCAGGAATGCTGATACTAAATTTTCTTCCTAAATTTTATTTGCATCTAATTAAGACTACAACTCAACAAGCCATTAAAAAATAAAATCTTACTCGTTTGACTGATTGAATTTCATGGGAAAATAATTTATTGCTTTGCTCAGAAACCAAATTTGTATAATACTAATTATCTAAGTAGCAGTTTTTCCTGAAAATAGTCTTAATTAGAACCTTTTCTTTACATGGTTGATATTTTCCCTCTTTAAGCATTTTTAATAATGTAGAGAACAGACTGAAAAGCCATGGAGTTATTGCAATAAAAAACTGAAAGTAAACTCTCGCTTCCTGAGGAGAAAACTTTTTTTTTTTTTTTTTTTTTTTACGAAATCTAGCTCTGTCGCCCAGGCTGTAGTGAGTGGCATACTCTCGGCTCACTGCATCCTTCACCTCCCGGGTTCAAGTGATTCTCCTGCCTCAGCCTCCAGAGTAGCAGGGACTACAGTGTGCACCACCACGCCCAGCTAATTTTTTGTATTTTTAGTAGAGATGGGGTTTCACCATGTTGACCAGGCTGGTCTTGAACTCCTGACCTCATGATCTGCCCGCCTCGGCCTCCCAAAGTGCTGGGATTACTGTTGTGAGCCACCGCACATGGCCGAGAAAACTCTTGAGGTAGCACAGCATGGTGGCTAAGAATGTATGTGCCAGAGCCACAACAAATTCAATTCAAATCAATTCCGTTGCCAACTTCTTCGGCAATTTACTTAATCTTTTTGGTCCTTGATTCCCTCATGTGTAAAATGGAGAAGACAGTATTTACCTCAGAGTGTCATTTCATCATATGTCATTTCATTATATATATATATCTGTATACATAATAGCATACTTAAAATTGTGCCTGCTGTTTTATAAATACTATGCTAATGTTTAGCTATTATTTTAAACAATTTCCGCTTAGCTGTTTAAAACTTTCTACCTTGGCTGCAATTATTACAAAGTGGTATTATCTTACAGCATATGGGGGAATAGATATGTAGCATAACACACATTTTTTTGATGGGCTATTATAATTGGATGACTAAAACATACTCAAAAGTACAACCACATTGTATCTCCTAATTTGGATTTAATAAGCTTCCAAAAGCATTTAGGAATTTTTAGTTCTTTGAAGACATCTTTATGAACATCTAGTATCATTAAATTGAAGTCGTATTAACTTTTTGGTTGGCAGAGTACCATTTAGTGAATGCCAACCAAACTAGAATTTGCTAACATGTAAAATGTGGAATACCCTTTGTCTAACCTGAAATAAACAAAATATGAATAGTAAAATGAAATTAATATTATGTATTTCACTGAGATCATTATAAATCATCTCTTATTATGCTGTCTCCCAGAGAAATATAATGTAATATGATTACTTATCAAATAATTGCAGTTTTCTTAAAACAGGCACTCATTCTAGCTTTGTAAAGTAATCAAGCTTTATAAGTAATATGGTTTTATTAAGTTATATAATTCTTAAAATTATAAGGTAGAAATGAATTTAGTGCAGTTTACAGAAAATTTTCATTTATGACATTTCAGATATAATTCCAGCTTATCTGGAATTTAATACAGGTACAACTAAACAGAAGATAGCAGAAATTGCAATTGTCATATGCAACTTTTCCCATAGAAAGTGTCTCATGAGAGAGAGATACCCCACAGAATACTGAATCTGTAACAAAACCTTCCTATCACAAATTAGATTTAAAATCTACTTTTGCCTTCTCTCTTCCTTCTTGCTATAGCTGTCTTATAACTAACAGACTCTCCCACATTACTTCCTTTACTCCTAACCAAAATAAACAATAAAGAGAATAGACTTAAATTTTAATTTTTGTTCAAATATAGCATTTTATTAAAATTTAAGATAACTTCTCCAAAACAAAATGGGTCACAGTTTTAATATATGTTAGTGACTGCTATGTTCTCTTTATTCTCTGTGTTTTATCCTTGGAATTAAAATTAATAAGAGAAACATAAAGATAAAGTGAATGGATTTATTTTATTATTTTACATGATCACTTACCTTTTCACAGCAGTCCTTAGATTCCTCCCAGGTGTTACACCAGGAATTTGGTAGAAAGCAGATTTTTATGACCCATGTAAGTACTGAAAGTGGTAGCTGGCATTTATTTTTCAGTTAGTATTCTAAAAATCATGGGCCCTCACATATAAAACTTTACTACCTTAGGTGACTGCACAGAATTTGGAGATCTCAGGTCTTTTGTTAAACATGGCCCACTGACAATTGGGTAGTTTCACATTCTGGTAAAAATATATATATTTTCTGCAAGAGACTTCATGTAAGTTCACTGATACTAAAAGGAAATGTACATTGAAAAGCAAATTTTAGGATTTCTCCTCAGTTAATAGAAGCCTCAAATTAGAAAAATAGCAAATCTTTTTAGTACAATTATCACATATTCATGGTCACTAATATATCTCAGAAGGATTAAAAAATAAAGCTTTCTCTGAAACCTTCCTCCTTCTTTAGAAGTACAGACAGGGATTAGAGAGGAAGAAAGTGACACCTGCCTAGCTGGCCAGATCAGCAGCCTTAACTTTCAGGTGGCCTTAAACTTCATGTGACTCTTTATTGTATCCTCAGACCCTTCCTTTTCAATATTAAAAGGTCATCTATGAGTAAATGGAGCATTTCATTTGTAACCACTCAGAAGTGTTACTGAGTAATTATAAAAGTTTATTTTTCAAAGAAAAGCAATAAAGTTTACAAACGAGAATTTTTAAGATTAAAAAAATCTTACAAGTGTTAGCATTATGCTTCTTTGCATTTGTTCATAAATAGTCAAAGGACTGCTCAAGTGACTATAAAAATATTAGAGATTGATAGCATCTGCCTAGACTAAACTCTTTCAAATTATAAATGACGATGCTCAGATACGTTAAGACATGCCTAAAGTGACATGGCTGGTAGAAAAGTGTTCTAAATCAACATATCTTGGTATCCTATATTTATGACTTGTATAATACCTCTTATAGACTGAGATAGAGCAGGAGCTGGCAAACAATTGCTCATGGGTCAAACCCAGCCTACCTAATGTTTTATCGGTACTCAGCTGTACTCATTCATTTACCTATTTTCTATGGCTGCTTTTGCACCAAATGGCAAAGTTGACTAATTGTAACAGAAACTGTATGGCCAACAAAACCTAAAATATTTACTTGTTCCTTGTAGAGAAAGTTTGTCCACCCCGAGTACAGAAAATTAAGGTATAGGTATATATTAGAAAATAAAAAATTGAAGTTTTTAAAAAAGTATTGTTCACAAAAATAATAATCAGAATTAAAGAAAAAAGTTTTGTTCAATGTACCTATCAAATAATTGTTTGAAACTCCACTCTGAATCAATAAATAAAACAAAGACTATGAAACAAAAAAGACTATGTTCATCTATGGATGCTACAAAGAATAGTTCTATCATAAATTACTTTTGTTCATTTTTTGTAAAGATCAAGAACCTAAGTCCCACTATATAATGTTTAATAAAGATAAAGTGTTGGTTTAGAAGGTCTATAAAAGAGGTATGGTTAATATCCCCTAAATTGTATGCCAACAAAATAGAGGGAAAATGAGAAAAATATGCCATTGTCAGCAAGGTATAATAGATATAATATAATGTACAGTAAAAGGAGAAGTGATAGACATGCAATTTTTTTCCTGTGAAATGCCCTGACTTTGGAAAGAAATGGTTGTCAATGCCTGTGCATTTCCTTGACAGATTATGCCAGACTGCACAATGGCAGCATTTGTCTTTGGTCTGTGGACCTAAGACAGTTGCTATCGGTGGAACCTTTTTCTGTACAGGTAATAACAAGGTGGTCAGTCATGCAACCCAAAGATCGAGTTTAAAGTTAAAATTAAAGAGGAATTCCCAGCACTATAGCATTTCATTTTATGTAAGGCTCTCCACCAGCCAAACTCGTTTACTTGTCATAGCTACCCAAATGAGAATACAAGGTTGACATGAAAGATGCAAACATGTAAGGTAGTCTCATTCCATAGAAAAGGACCTAACAGAAACACTAGAACAAACCTATTAGATGACTTAAAAGAATAATAAAAAGAGTAATTAACAAAAGCATATAACCTCTATCATGTCCTTCAAAAACTAACATGTGCAAACAGTAGTTCAACTTGAGGTCACGTTGCCTTGCTTCCAACTCTTCACTAGAGAAGCCTCATTTAAAGTCAGTACAATCTCTGTATTTCTTTTGTCACACAAAGTTGACTATCCTAAAATATTTAATTTAAAATATCCTGGTTGATTTCTAGCAATAAAGAAAATATTTTTTATTAACTTTCTACATGTAATTAGCATTTTATGTGAGAGAAAATTTGGTGGCTACAGGAAATCTTCAAGTGTTCAGAGTTCAAGGAGATCCAGCTCATCAAATCCTTTTTTATTGACAGATGAGAAACTGAGACTCAGAAAGCCTCATTGCCAGAGTCACACAGAGAGTAGGAACATGGCTGGTAGACCAGAAACAAGTAACTTCAACTTCCTGCTGCAGGCCCTTTTCACAGTGCCATCCTGATCCCCCTACTTGGAGAACTTTTATTCAGTTTTAGTAATGGGGTGTGGAAGGGAGCTAATTTATGCCAACGGGCTCCAATTTGAGAACATTTTCTTCAACATTTGAAGATTATGATGCACTTTATCGATATATGAATTTGTGATCATATAAGCTGTGAAGCCTATTTAGCCATGCTTCTTGGGTCTAGTGATAGGTCTCCCTTGATGAGAATGCAAGGTTGACATGAAAAATACACAGAAGTAACATAGCCTTATTTCAAAGAAAAGGAACTAGAGATCTCCGAAATCAGAAACACTAGAGCAGGCCTATTCAATGACTTAAAACACGGAGTCCAACACTTGAGTCATGCTTCCCTGAGAATATAAGGATGCAGCTACAGGTCACAGTTTAACTGCCTGGATTGTGTCCCTGACTAGAGTTTCTGGATTATCACAATGATCATATTTTCTGATGGTAAGTTCTATTATTCTCTTTTAGTTCCTGTTAAATTCAAAGTCCAACAACAATGCCAAGTGTGATCCATCATGGGTGCCTGCAGTCACTCTTAGGTTCAGCGAATATTTTAGGGCACTCAATATGTATTAGGTTGTCTGCTCATGCTGCTATAACAAAATACCATGGATGGGCAGCTTAAACAACAGAAATTTATTTTCTCACATTTCCAGAGGCTGAACGTTTGAGATGAGCGAGTGTGGTAGATTTCTATTGAGAGTTCTCGTCCTAGCTTTCAGACTGCCACCTTCTTCCTGTGCCCTAATGGAGCAGAAAGAGAGAGCAAGATCAAGCTCTTTGGTGTCTCTTCTTATAAGGCCACTACTCCTATTATGAGGGCCCTGCTCTCATGACCTCACCTAAACCTAATTACCTCCCAAAGGCCTCATCTCCAAATACCATACATCAGGAGTTAGGGCTGCAACACATGGATTTTGAATTTATTCCATAACCCAGGTGCTGCACTAGGCATAAGTAAGACACAAATAATTCCCCCAGCAAGAAAGACGTATGTAAAACAAAGAGTCACAATGCAATGAGAAGTGGGCCCTTAATGAGTAAAATACAAATACTCTAAGGAGCTTAGGGGACTGCAGTGTCCGCTCTTCACCTCACAGAGGAAATGAAATTTAGGTGAGGCCAGAAGAACATGGAGATGTTTTTTGGTGTGGAGAAGATATAGGTAAGGGGATATAAAAATTCACAGCGGGACTAGCTGTTTAATTTGTGAGGAATCCCATGCAAAATGAAAATGGAAAGGCCCTTGCTCTAAAATTATTGACAGTTTTAAGACAGTGACAGAAAATCATTAAACCACATTTGAGAAAAAGGACAAGTGTTGTGTGATTCCACTTATATAAGGTACCTAGAGTAGTTAAATTCATGGAGACAGAAAGTGGAAAGGTGGTTACTGAGGACTAGGGGAGGGAAGAATGCAGAGTTATGTTTTTATTTATTTATTTATTTTTTGAGATGGAGTTTCGCTCTTGTTGCCCAGGCTGGAGTGCAATGGCACCATCTCGGCTCACTGCAACCTCTGCCTCCTGGGTTCAAGGAATTTTCCTGCTTCAGCCTCCCGAGTAGCTGGGATTACAGGCATGCACCACCACACCCGGGTAATTTTGTATTTTTAGTAGAGACGGGGTTTAACCATGTTGGCCAGGCTGGTTTCAAACTCTTGACCTCAGATGATCCAGCCGCCTCAGCCTCCCAAAGGGTTGGGATTACAGGTGTGAGCCACCATGCCCAGCCGGGGCATTATGTTTTAATGGGCATGGAGTTTCAGTTTATGATGGTGAAAAAGTTCTGGAGATGGGTGGTGTTGATAGTTGCAATGTGAATTCACTTAATGCCACTGAATTTTACTCTTAAAAATGGTTCAAATGGTAAACTGTATGTTATATGTATTTTACCACAATAAAAAATAAATAAACTAAGTGTGGGGCTCTTCTGAGTTCATGTTGCTGGTGTGACTGCCCAGGAGTTATGGCTATGAAGCCGGCTCTGATTTACAACATGCTGGGGAAATGGTAAGTCGTTAGGCCTGGCTAGAATACTAGAGGCATGTATGTGGGTGTATCAGAGCTGGCAAGAGGTGAAACCTGGAATAGTAGACTGAGACCAGGTTGTTTTAGCAGATAGCATTGCTTGCCTGCCCAACCAGGCTTACCCCTCTTTCCTCTTAATAAGCCACCTGTTTTGTTTAGGTATATATCCCTCAGGCAAAGTAATCCAATCTCAAGCTCTGAGATTAATGCTGCTTAGCCTATGAAAATAGTGCCATGCCCAGAGTATTCTCCCTGACAGTGGTTAGTTAGTACCAGCCCCAAATTCCTCTTCATAGGTTTTCTCCATATAATGCTGAGAAATGCATATAATCTTGTTTCAGAATTAGTCCTGGGAATTTCATAATTCCCCCAAAGTGAACTCCAGAAGTGACACTAGGTATTACCTATCATATTCATTGTATTTGCTTACATGTAGTCTGTTTTTTCTCTGTGTTTATTTTCTGGTGAATTATTATTTCCCTCCCATGTGCACATTGCTTATGTTCTGTGTCTCAGAGGGTTATTCAAGATTAATTAGCGTTCCCCTGGGTATAGAAAGTGACAACTTCTGCAGTTTATCATTGGAGCACATTATCAATTACTTTGCTCTACAAAAATCCAGATGAAAATATTTTACATTTCAGTGTACGTGTTAAGGTAATATGCAAACAAATATGCTATATGCATTAATTAAAATTGGGTAATTGTGTCACTATAGATATAAAGTTTTAGTATCTGTTAAATATGCCATTAGATGAATTACATGAATTTGAATAACTTTATCTTATGGGGTAGCATATTGCAATACTTTGTTGCATCATCAAAGCATATTTTAACTGAATATGTATATGCAGATACAACATTATATATCTATATTTTAAAAGTCACTTATTTAAAATTAATATATTCATCATAACATATTTAGCTATATAAACTATTTTTCTTTTTCTTTTTCGAGACAGAGTCTTGCTGTGTCACCCAAGCTGGAGTACAGTGGCATGATCTCAGCTCACTACAACCTCTGACTCCCGGGTTCAAGTGATTCTCCTGACTCAGCCTCCCAAGTAGCTGGGACTACAGGCACACACCACCATGCCAGGCTAAGTTTTGTATTTTTAGTAGAGACGGGGTTTCACTATGTTGGCCAGGCTGGTCTTGAACTCCTGACTTGGTGATCCACCTGCCTCAGCCTCCCAAAGTGCTGGGATTACAGGCATGAGCCACCATGCCCAATCTTATTTTTCTTTTAAATCCAAGTTCAAAATGGTATTTAGCTGAAGATTGCCCTACATTTTGCCCTATTTATCAACTTAGGTTAACAACTTTTACAGTTAAGCATATATTATGCACAAAATATTATGTTAGGTGCTGTACAGAATTTAATCATCAATAAGGAATTGACGTACAGCTTATATTTCATACAAGAGTACAAATGATAATTAGAAAGACTACACGGGACATCACATGGACGTGATCTAAGTGAGCATTATTTGGCCACAAAGTGGGGTCATTTAGATATCATTCAAGCTAAACAGGGATGCTTTCAAAACAAAGTGGCATGTGAGATAAATAGATGGGATATGGAAAATCTGTTTAAGGTAAAATCACATGAAGTACAATTTGACAAGTACTTAATGAATGGGTCATTCTGGGTAAAGATAAATCTGTAAAATCGGTGACACTGTTGCATGAATGCATGTACCTACTTCAGGGAAAAGGAATGTTTCTGTTTCACAGATATTTAGGAGTCACCGTATGAAGGTAATGGGGCAGAAAGGTTCTGCATTTAGTCTGGCCTTAAAGGCCAGTCTGAGGAGTTTGTATTTCATCTGTTGCTTTTGGGGAGTTAGTAACATTTATCAATTGCAAAATACCACACTCAATCTTCTAGTTCAGGGAGATTAATCTGTTAACTGTGTAAAGCTATGGAAGGATACAGGCAAAGGCATCTGGTTGGAGGGGATATGGTGAACATAAAACCTCATAAGCATTGGCAACTGATTAAATTTGGATTTAAGTGTGCTTCTGAATATCCTGGTTGTTATGGAAATGAATGGTGTCTTATTAATTATGCTAGGAAAGTCAGGGAAAATGGTTTGTGAGAGAATATAATTAATTCCATTTAGGCATTTCACAAATTAATAAGAATTTCTGGGATCCACAGTGCTAGAATTACTAGTACCTACCTTGACAATTTAGTTAAAACAAAAATAGTTGGCCAGGCGTGGTGGCTCACGCCCATAATCCTAGCACTTTGGGAGGCCACGGCAGGTGGATCAGGAGGTCAAGAGATTGAGACAATACTGGCCAACATGTTGAAACCCCAACTCTACTAAAAATACAAAAATTAGCTGGGTGTGGTGGCACGTGCCTATAGTCCCAGCTACTCAAGTGGCTGAGGCAGGAGAATCACTTGAACCCGGGAGGCAAAGGTTGCAGTGAACCGAGATCACACCACTGCACTCCAGCCTGGTGACAGAGCCAGATTCCGTCTCAAAAAGAATAAAAAAAGTAAAAAATTTTTTTCAGCATATTGTAGATTTGTTTATGGTCTCCTACATGCCAGACCCTACTCTAAATGCTGGGGTATTCAGCAGTTCACAAAACAGACAAAAACAAACAGAAACCTTCTCTTCATAAAGTTTACATTTTAGTTGAGAGTGGGGTGGGGACAGTAAAGGACACTGAGAAGTAGCCAGTGAAATAGGAGGAAAATCCTAAGAGACGTTAAATTAAAAGAGATGTAGGGCCGGGTGTGGTGACTGGCGCCTGTAATCCCAGCACTTTGGGAGGCCGAGAAAGGAGGATCGCTTGAGCCTAGGAGTTCGAGACCAGCTTGGGCAACATAACAAGACCCTGTCTCTAAATAAATAAATAAATACATGAGAGAAGTAAAAGAAATGTTAAGAAAGGAGTGATTGACTAGGCCAAATCCTGCTGGTAGATTAAGAGGAAGACAAGCAAAGGGTCATACATTTGGCTAGATGGAAGTCCTTGGTGACTTTCTAAAGAACTCTTTTGAGAGAGGTGTGGTGATAATGACAGAAATCTGATTGGAGTGGGATCAAGAAATAAGAGAAGAACTGCCAAAAGAGAAGAAGGAATGAATATGGACAACTGTGCTACTTATTAGAGGAGTTTGCTATAAAGGATTGTGGATAAATGGGCCAGTGGATCAAGAGGAAATGGGATTTTGTTTTGAAGTGGATTAAATTGCAGGATAGTTGTATATTGATAGAAAATCAACTAGAGAAGAAAGAATGATGATGAAGTAGTCAGGAGAATTTCTAGAGTAATATCTTTGAGTAGGTGAGGGGCAATGGTATCTAGCACACTAGTTGGAGAGCTTGGCCTTGGATATGAAGACGGGTGATTCATCCTATATGATAAGGGGAAGCAGTATTTATGGGCCCAGATGCAGGGATTGGTAGATTTGACCATAGGAACTTATAGAGTCTGTTTTTACTGCTTAGGTACCCCTTCACTCCAGGGAAGTAAGAATCAAGGAAATTAGCTGAGAATGAGTTTTTTGTATAACTTCTATCAATAATCAGAAATGTTATTTTATAATGAGCTTAAAAGAGAAAAATCTTTAGAATAAATCCATGTTATAATGTAATATGCTCTTTTCACAGACATTTACAACATGAGGCAGTACAGGATGCTTTAGTATTTATATGAGATATTGATTTCTACATTATGTGAATTCTAAGATGCAAGTTTCAATACCTCTAATGTCTATCAATAGCAAAGTAGTTGAATGCATCATAGTGTTTCCACCCTGGGGAATACTGTGTAGTTATTAGAAAATAAATTTAAGTTCAATCTATATATGTTATACCTGAGGAATATCCAATATGCTTTTGTCAAATCAGAAAAGCCACTTACAGAGTAATGTGCTTATTGTGATCCCTGGTTTTTTAAAAACAAACAAAACATGTGCTTTGTGTGTGTTTTTGTATGTCATGTTATTACTATGAAAAACAATATAAAAGGATACAAGCTATTAGCATCGATTATTGGAAGGGGTGGGTTATGGAGGGATTAGCAGGTTTATTTTTATAGATCTTTTCATTGTTTTATTGTTTCATTTTCACTCAGGTTAATGAGTACACTTTTTTAAATTCAAGACTAAAAATCAAAAACATCTAGAGACTCTGAAACACTCAATATGTATTTGGGTAACACACCCAATATTAGAACCTAGACCTAACAATTTCATTCAGTGGTTCTTTCCATTAAAATAATCTTTATTGACACTTTGCACGTCGTGGACTTTTTATACTACTATCCTATTTGCCTCTTTCTATGTCCCTGTGGCATTACAGATCAATTAGTAATTCGGGTGGAAACAATGTAAGTATTTGTCTAAATATTCTATGAAGTCTAATTCAGATGAGCAGAATGTTTAGAGAATTCCAACTCTTGTTCCTTGAGTAGATTTTTGCATACTCTTTAGAAGAATTTTATTCTAGGGAAGCTGCTGCCTCTGGAATTGTCCCATGTGTGACTCCAAACCCACTGCCTGCCCTTACAAGGCAATATTCCTTAGGCTTCAATGTGAAATGAATTAATTTTTTAAAATGCCCAATTCATAGCAAAAATATGAGCAGAAAAAAAGAATATTAGATGCAGGTTATTTTTCACCTCTACTCTTACTTATCTTTCAGCAGCATTAATCATACCCGCCTTCTTGTAAGATTTTATTAACCTAGCTTCTATGATGCACCAGCCCCCCCTCAGAAATCTTACCCAACCCATATTTTTCAGTCCAGACATCCTCCTTGAGTTTCAGAGTACCTTACTTTAAGGTCCTCTTTGCTAGATCAAACATTTCAAACCCAAAGTTTCTCAGGCTAAACTCCTGGTCTTTCCCACCAGTATTTTCCAATGTTTACCCTCTTAATGAATAGTACTATCATTCATCCAGGTGTGGACGTCCAAAATCTACTCTTAGTAACTCCCTCTTTCTCATCCCCCAATATAAAATCTGTATTTAAGTCAAAACTTGCATGGAGTATAGAGTTGCAGTTGAGAATCATAGATTTTAGAGGTATACAGCACCAAGCTCTACCTACCTTCTTTTAGCCTTAGTTTTTTCTTTTTTAAATGGAAAATATTAACCTAATCTACCTCTTGAGGATGCTGGGAGGATAAAAAAGTATCTGTTAATACTCTACAATAAAATATCTGTATTCACAGATTTGATACATAAATACACACATATGTAGGTGTATCTGTTTGTATCTATGTCAAGTTATCCACACACACACATGCACATACACATAAACACACACATATTTACCCTAGGACAGTGACTAGCACGTTCAGTGCTCAAGAAAAGTTAGCTGTATTTAGAATTTAAGATGTTTATGTTGCATGCCATCTAACTTATAATGCAAAATAACTAGGAAAAAAGGAAGAACTGATAGAACTTCAGGTAGTTTAAATAGCTTCCTGTCTCTTGGAATATTTTTGAGGTTGGGAAGAGATGTTTGGCCCCTATCATGTGTTGTTCTTTCTCTTACATAGCATATTTTCCAAGGTCTTTATGACTTATAAGGTCAAGGGCTTATTGCACCTCTTCTCACAACAATATCAGGTAAAATTGGGAAAAGTGATTGGTAGAAGTATCTGCAAATAATTTTTGTCTAAACAAAGTTCTAAAACTTGTGCTTTGCTGTGACTGAATTTCTCTCAGTTTGAAAAATTTGACATTTAGCATAATCTTGAAATATGTGGTTTTTTCCACTGTTAGTTCTTAAGACTTAGCTTTTAACACAGCAGTCACCAAAAAGGCAGTATCCTTCCCTAAATGTGGTAGTATCTTTGAACCACAAGTTAATGGAAATGAACAATTTAACTACCAAGCCACAACAGTGCCTCCAGTGTCTGTCATCTTGCTCTGAGCTGGTGCAAATGCGTGTGTTCTACATCTGTATTAGAGAGTTTAGCCTTGACATTCCTTCGTCCCATGCAATATTTGTTAAATAAAAGAAAAAGAAAGGGGCAGGCATGCTTTACCCAGATGTGATATTTAGTCAGCCTGGAAATTCTTTTGCTGTGGCTTTACTCTCACTGAACAGT
The DNA here is from genome assembly GCF_000001405.40 of Homo sapiens. Taxonomy (NCBI): domain Eukaryota; kingdom Metazoa; phylum Chordata; class Mammalia; order Primates; family Hominidae; genus Homo; species Homo sapiens. The sequence continues at coordinate 80,646,355 of NC_000004.12, forward strand.
ATCCACCAGTGCTGGCCTCCTGTATCCAATTTAAATTGATGATTGCTAGAGACATATTACCCTAATTTCTAATCAGCTAATTACAATGGATCTACTGTGCAGAATAAGAGTACTACAATTAATTCTAATAGAAGCTTTATTCTGTTTCATGTTTATAAATTCTGTATTAATTCTCTTGTATAAGCCAGTTTAATTTTTAAGTTTCTTTAAAAGTTTAGAATAAAAGCTATCCAAACATTTTTAAAATTTTATCAGAAAACAAGGTCATGTATCACATTCATTCCTAAAAAGTGCACAATGATTCTTATTGACAGAAACCATTGTCTTCTCTCAACCCTAGATGCCAGAAAACATAAGAAATCTTGATAGTTTGTTCTTTCTACCTTCCCTTATCTCCCTTCTCCTGTTGCTTCTCTTTCTCTGTACTCTTTTTACTTCTCCTCCCTAAAGATAAACCATATTTAGTTGTGCTAATGAGGTGATATAAATGCCAAATGGATTAATAATTAATTCAGTTTTAGAACGTATTCTTCGATCTGGCAGTATAGTTTTAAAATATATAAGTTAGAAAAATATGTTTGAAACTAGGTTTGGACTAGGTTTTCCAATTCTTTGAGAGAGAGAGAGAGAGAGAGTGTGTGTGTGTGTGTGTGTGTGTGTGTGTATTTTAAATAGGTAAATAGATATAGATGTACATATAGATGTAGATAGATACAGATAAGATTTAGATATAGATAAACCTCAAGTATTTTTACTGGTAGCAGTATGTTAACAAATAGTTTGGAGACTGCCACTCCAAAACATAAGTTCTAAAAAGGAATGAATCTTTTTATCATTATACTCCCAGAACCTAGCACTGTTGGTTACATGTTTTGGGAGTCAAGAAATATTTATTAAATTAATTAATGGAAGATTTCAGTATACTTCATGGAGCTGAATCAAACATCAGTCAAGTCTCAGACACATCTGTTTGGTGCATGCTCTTGCCATTGTAGTCATTTGAAAAATATCAAGTAATGTTTTAATGGCAAGTAGTAAGGTGATATCCTAAATAGATTTCATAGGCATTTGTTTTCTCTGCATTTTTTATTTAAGATGTGGAGTCCAAATATTGCTAAATAATTAGTATAATAGAAAGTCTCTGAATCTGTGCCTAGTGACTCACTAGACGATGAAATGACCCATTTTCTCTGAAACCCACCGACTGTGCCCACACTTGAATAAATGCTCCCCCTTAGTGGGATACTGCTTGCTGTCTATGCACTCTGCCTTTTTTAGTTGTGGTGTATGCTAATCAAGAGCCATTCACATTTGTTTCCACACATGTTTATGCTAGTTGTTCTTTTTATTTATTAAATGTAATATTTAATTGTTCATGTAATTGAATCAAATGTTATAAAAGCTGATGAAATGTGAGAGCAAAAAGAAATGTTTCTAGGCTGGGCACAGTGGCTCATGCCTGTACTCCCAGCACTTTGGGAGCCCAAGGTGGGCGGATCACCTGAGGTAAGGAGTGAAACCCCAACATGGTGAAACCCCATCTCTACTAAAAATTAGCTGGGCATGGCAGCACACACCTGCAGTTTCAGCTACCTGGGAGGCTGAGGCAAGGGAATCACTTGAACCCAGGAGGTGGAGGTTGCAGTAAGCTGAGATCCGGCAACTGCACTCCAACCTGGGTGACAGAGGGAGAGACTCTGTCTCCAAAAAAAGGAAAAATGTTTTTAAGAAAAGTTAGTTAATGTTTTGGAAAGTTTTGGCTAAAATTATGGTTAAATTAGGTGTGGAAAAATAATTGCACATTATTGGAGAGAGAATCATAAACATCTAGATGATTTTCATGAGCAAGTCACTTAAAAAGTACCTTTAGGTTCCTGCTATGCTTTCCAGAAACTGATACTAGAATTTATAAATGACACATTGGAGGTAATTTGTATAAGAAAGATTATAAGAAACTCTGAGAGCAGTCACTTGCCTAGAAAAGGCCTTATTTATGGTTTTAAAATGGTAACTACTTGGGCATTTGTATGTTTTACATTAAAAATTATGCTTTGTGTGCTTTGTATGATCCTCTCCTTAACTGTTCTTTAACAAACTCACTAATGACAGTCCAGCTGTGTCAGATTAAGAGGATTTCTACTGTAGTTCAACTTTGAGAGTTCATTTCACTCCTCTTTCGTGGTTCTGGGACAATGTAATTGAAAAATCTTGAAATAAAGACAAGGTGTTAAAATCAATTACTATTTGCAATTTCATTGTATGAACTATGATTTTCTTAATATTGTACTACTCAAAGAAAATTGAGAAATAAGTAAAAATATACAGCTGATAGATGGGATAGCAAAAGTTACTCAGATTTTCTCATTTTGAATATCTTTCACAACAGCCTCATTGTTTTACTGATTAACAATAATTTAAGTTAAAATTATGAATGCAAGCCCAACCAAAAAATTCTAAAGCATATTTTAATATATCGGGGATCTATAAAAGTTTTCATCTGAAATGTGTTTCTTTATCAGAAGATGTTTCAAATTCTCTATTTTAGGGTATACAAAAATGGTTAAAACTCTGTCCAAGCTTTCAAGAAACAACAGTGGACAACATCAAATTGACACCAAGGAGATAGATGGATGGTGAGTTTACTTCTCACTAAGAAGATAAGGGAGACTTCACCTAGAAAGTGCGGTTTAAACTGCAACTTAAAATAAGCAGTTTTCTGGTATACAGCTAGAGGGAAAGGTCATTTCAGAGGGAGGAAACTGGACTAACAAAGGGCGATAGGAGGAGAGCAGAAAGTATTACAGAGGGAAGAAACTATGGGTCAGGAGGAGAAGGGAGCTACCTGAAGTCCAAAGTGTTGGAACTTTTAAGTAAGTTGGTTATTTTAGGTACTGATGGTGCTTGAGTTTAGAAATGATAATTTATGGAACATCTGTTAAGATGGGTATAAAGTGTTATGGGAGACCCTGTAAAATAATGACTGGTTCTGCCTATTGAGAAGCTTCTTCATAGAAGAGATGACACTTCATTTCCATTTGAAATATACACATTTTGGGGCTATTTAGAGGGCTTTGTTTGAAGTGAGAAGATGCTAGAAGCAGAGACAGCAATACTGAAAGGATGCAATGCAAAATAACTCATGAACTTAATGAAACAATTTTATTTCATTTTCTGGCAGTTCTTGTTGATTTTTAAAAATAAACTCTAAATAAAATTTAAATTAAGAAATATTTATTTCCTTTCATTAGTTGCAGTTATTTTTAGAAATTGCATCATTAGATTGGTATCTTGAAAGAACTTGCCTAAAGTAAAAAATTAATAAACTTTTAGATCAAAAACTGTGTCATTCCTAAATAAAATGAAAGGCAAAATTAAAATATAACTTTTTTGTGTATAAAAGAAAATGTTTGCTCAAATTGTTTGTTATTAAAAAGACACTAAAATTGGACTTTAAATATTTTTGAAGGATTCCAAATTGTTGTCATGTTTCAGTTTTATGTGCCTTTAAGTGAAATGTCTTCTTTAGGTGTTAGGGAGTTTTCTTCATAAATCATTAAAGAAAATGTTCTTAAAGTGGACATTCATTTTTGTACGTGATTAATAGGAAGGAGTACCATTTTATTTTATTTTTTTTCAATGCTCTACTGGCTTTCAGTTGGGAGGTTAGCTTACTTTGTAAATATGCAAAATAGTGACAAAATAATCATACAGAAGTGCTTTGTAAAATGCATATAGCATAAGAAAATGTGAATACCGTTTATATGTAGAATTATCTAAAATATGTTAGGAAAGTTAATATTTGTAAGAATTTGCAGAATTCAAACATCCATATATTGGAAATTATACTTTTTGTGCATTGAGAAACACAATTTTTAAAATGATAATTTTAAATTAATAAATTTAAAAACATCAATTAAAAATATTTTTATCCTACTCTCCAGAAGGTACTTTGTAGGATATAACATTTATATGTACAAAAAACTATGTAAACTACCTTTTAAAAATCATATTCTCATAAAATTATATTGATACATCATTTTTCTTCAGTTCTTTATTTAGCATATCTCTTTAGCATCTTTTAATATTCAAAATTATTTTTCCAGCGCATGATCTTAATGACTTACACAAATGTTATCCTATTTGATGTGTCAGATTTTATTTGACCATAGATGACTGGCACTTAAACTTTTTAAAGAGTCTCTAATGTAACCATGGGGATGAACTACCTGAGACCTAAATGTCTCTACCCATCTCTTAAAAGGTACAGTACAGGGCTAGGGTTAGGTAAGTAAGCCTTATGCATCTTAAAGTTTTTGCTTCATAGTATGAATTAGCTTTCCAATTTGTATGCTGCTTTCTCTTAACTTCCCTATCCTAAGTAGTATCTTTGTTTTCTTTTTTGTTATTTTAAAATTATTTGGATTTTAAGTTATTTTTATTATTTGCATCCTAAACTATGAGGATGCAAATGCATAAGAATGACACAATGGACTTTGGGACTCAGGGGAAAGGATGGGAAGGGGGTGCGGGATATAAGACTACAAACTGGGTGCAGTGTATCCTGCTCGGGTGATGAGTGCACCAAAATTTCACAAATCACTACTAAAGAACTTACTCAAGTAACCAAATACCACCTGTTCTCCAATAACCTATGGAAATAAAAAAAATTAAAAAAATATTTTTTAAGATTTAACATTGTTTACAATTATTAGTGATTTGTATATTTTTGTAAATTTTATATTAATGTACTTTTCTGTTAATTTATACAGGTGCCTTTTGCCATTTAGGTTGCAAATATTTTTCTCCTTGTTACTTGCTTTGATATTTTGTTTATGGGATTTTGAAATGCAGATATTTATACTTCAGTGACCCAAATCTAAGAATCTTCCTTCCTTCCTTCCTTCCTTTCTTTCTCTTTCTCTCTTTCTCTCTCTTACTCTCTCTCTCTTTCTTTCTTTCTTCTTTCTTTCTCTCTTCTTCTTCTCCTTCCTTCTTCTTTCTTTCTTCTTCTTCTTTTTTTTTTTTTGTTGAGACAGAGTCTCTCTGTGTCACCCAGGCTTGACTGCAGTGGCACGATCTCAGCTCACTGAAGTCTCGACCTCCTGGGTTTAAGTGATCCTCCCACCTCAGCCCCTCAAGTAACTGAGACTAGAGTTGTGCGCCGCCACACCTAGCTAATTTTTTGAATTTTGTAGAGATAGGGTCTCTCTCTGTTGCCCAGGCTGGTCTTGAATTCCAGAGCACAAATGATCCTCCTATCTGAGCCTCCCAAAGTGCTGGAATTACAGGAATGAGCCACCGTGCCCGGGCGAATCTCACTTTCTTTTTTCTAAGCTGTTAGGTATGCACTTGTGTGTGTGTGTGTGTGTGTGTGTGTGTGTGTGTTTGTGTGTCTGTGGTGGACTATAATAAATAGGCACAGAAGAGACAAAATCACACAGGTAAACTTTGAATTGTCAGTTGACCATATATCATTCTAATAATCTGGGGCAAAGTCAAAGAGCTTATGTGAAGAGTTCACGTGTTTATGAATTAGAGGAATCATTTGAATTGCAAGGGTGAGTTGAAAATGTCTTGCGGTTAATTATTTTTTTTCCAAATGAGGATATTACTTTTACAATCAGGAACCTGGACATACTCTACTCAAAATGGCAAATTTGGTTGATTTTGAAAATACAGAAGAAACAATTCTCAGGAAGATGAAAAGTTAGGCTGTGATTGTCACAACAAAACTTTGATCTAATCTTGAAGCTGACTACAGGGGTGACAATAAATGTTTTGCATTAGATGTGACACTGCACATTTTAGATGATGAAATACTGTTGTTAGTGGTTGTAGAACTTTAATGTTGCCAGAATATTTCATCAAGTAGAGTCTCTGCATGTGGTAAAATTTCATCAAGTGGAGTCGCTGCATGAGGTAAAATTTCACCAAGTTAAAAATTTTTATGAACAATATTTTATAAAATATGTATTTATATATTTGGCAAAATTATAGAGAAAAGTAAGAAATGAAAAACATAAATTTCAGAGTAAAACATAAACTTCAGTTACCTCTGGGAAAGAGAGAAGCGGGTGTAATCAGGGAGTGTAAATAGGGGGCAACAACTGGACTGGGAATGTCAAAGTTGGTGCTGGTTACACAGGGTTGTTTTACAGTATTCCTTATATCTTGTATATGCATTGTGAATAGGCTTTGTTTGAATAGGATATTGAAATATTTTAATAATTAACTTTAACAGTCACAAAAATATTTACAATGAATGCAAGAATGGTCAAAACATATTGAATGCATCATATGAACCCTCAAGTCCTGGTTCCCTTCCTGGTCATTTTCTCACACTGTGTTGACCAACTACACTTCTCATGTCTCTGTGCTGCCTCTAGTGCTCCCTCATTCCTCTCTGGTGCTTAGCCCTCCTTGTTTTGGTGTCCAGAGTTTTCTCTGAAGAAATATCCTAGGGAAGTTCTCCCCAGCGTCATACAAATAAACTTGAGTTCTCAAATCCGACTCGCCTCCAATGCAAAGTTGACGTGCCTATGCCTTATTGCCCTGGAATTGCATACTCATGCTCCATGTTTTCCACATAGGGAATCAGGAAGTATAGTAAGTTCATCTTTGAAAGCTGTTAATAAAAGAAGTAGAGTCCCCTCCTCTTGTATTTCTCATGTGAATTTAGAGACAATGTACCCTGCTTTTGTTGTCTGCTTAAAACTGTGAAGTGATGGTTTCCATCCTACATCTCTTTTCTCAGGTCCAAACCTCTGTATTCAGCTATATGCACACTTGTATATCAGATATACATAAAACTGAATGCATAGTTTTTCATACTTATCCAAAACCTCCTCTTTCTGTCCCACATTTTGACAAACGGCAGATCTACTGTCTGATGGTTCAGGTAAGGCACACAGGAGATATCCTAAAGCCATTTCCTCCTCACCTCTCCATTTTTAGTGATGTTTCCTTTGCCATCTGTCTCCTTTTCTCCATCCCTCTGTTGTAGTTTAGGGCTTCATTTTTACTCAACTGGATTATGTATACAGTACAAAAATTTAAAAAATTACAAATGGCCTCCTACTGATCTATAATGTCATCTACTCAAATATGCTTTCTACCCAAGGTGAACACTATAGCATATTCTTCTGTCAATGCCATTCTCCTGTTCAAAAATTACAGTGTCTTCTCATTGTCCTTATCAGTGGTCCCCAAACACATACCTCAGAGGGACAGAAAGATGAGCAAGTAAAGTGTATGAAAAAAACATATTAGCACTTCCATTTATATTCGTTTTGAATGTAACACAAGGACACAATGCTTTATATAATAAAAGGATAGTATCAAGAAAAACTTCATTTTACATTAAAATGTGTTTGAAGCATACAATACATTTTTAAGTATTTTCACCAAAACCATTGTCTATCACTTGAAATACTAAATTCTAATATTGAAAAAATTTTCATAGTCTTAAGATGTTATTCGTGTTAAACAATAATGTAGTAGTCTTTTCTTGCTGGACATTTCATATGAGTGTTTTATACAATGATTTACTGCCATCAAGTTTGTGTCCTATTTGTTCATACATCTTTAATATGTGTTTATATATATGTGGGTATGCATATCATGCTAATATAATGTGGTGGGAAAGAACTAATGCATTGAGCTGAGTTTATTTCAGATGCTTGCTCTGCAGTTATGACATTTGGGTTATACAGTTTGCTCAAATTATGGCTAACCTGTTAAAAAGCTCCATGACATTGCGGTACTGGGGAATGATGGGCAGTTTCTTAAAGCTTAAAGATTAATATGATCAATAGTAGCAATACATTATTGAATTCATGTTTTACAAATCTTTGTGTCTTTTTAATTGCCTGTGTTCAAAATAGATAAAGTGCATTCAGTTATTTTTTATGCCCTCAGGATAAAGGCACCTGGGAGTTTTACTCAGAGCAGATATTTTGGTGGTATTTATTGGTCTGGAAGATTTCTCATGGAATTTTCTGTAAACTCTGTTGCTCCAATGTCTGGATAGTATGTTTATAGTTCTTGGGCTTTCTTCCTTTCTTCAGCCTTTAGGGTAACTGTGTTTTAGGTTTCATTAATCTATTGTAACATTTTCTGTTCTAAATGAATGATTATTTGAAGGCAAAATGCCATCAGAAATTAAAATAAACACATAACTGTAAGCATGTCCACAGATCCACCTTCTATATTGCACTGAGTTAATAATTTGTGCAATTCAATATTCATTATTCTAAGCTTTTTGAGATGAGGGAATGGGTCTGACTCAGTTGCTTAGGCTGAAATGCACAGGCAATGATCATAGATCATAGCTTACTGCAATCTCCTGGGCTTAAAGAATCCTTCCACTTCAACCTCCTGAGTAGCTGGGACTATAGGCATGCATGCCACCATGCCGAGCTAATTTTTAACTTTTTTTTTTTTTTTTTTTTGGTAGAGACGAGGTCTCTTTCTATGGCTCAGGCACTAATAGCCTCAAGCAATCCTCTTGCCTTGGCCACCCAAAGTGCTGGAATTATAGGTAGTAACCATCATACCTAGCTATTCTAACTTACTATTTTTAAAAAATTAAAATATGTATTTTCATCTGTTGAAGTAACAAACATCCACACACTTTTATTTCCTAGTCTCTTTAGTCAGACCCACAAAATGTAATATTTTAATAAAAGACATTAAGAGTGAATTCTAGGGCGATGCCAGTTAATTAATAATACTTAATCTTTTACCTTTATTTAAAAATAATTCTCTAGGAGTTTGTGTACTATACAGAATAAATGACAGACAGTCAAAACTTTCGGTGAGACTGATTGACTACAATAGGTATTATCCATTTAATTATCCATAACATATCGGTTGTGCATTTACTATTTCCAGTAATCTAATTTCTGGCTAAGCAATCTCTCTAACATTATGACAAGAAAATATTTAAGATGAAGTAAAAGTAACACTGAAAAATACAAAAATAAGCTATCGTCTATTGCTGCCGGATACAATATGATGAAATACTGATTTTAAAAGAAATATTCTGGAATCATGACAGGAAATGTATTTTATATATCTTAAACTCAAGTCTGTAAAAGCTAGAATGGGTACACAGAATTGGTATGGTAAGTGGGTCCTGCAGCTGTGTTGGCTCCACAAATGCTTTGCATGTGTTGTTCTTGAAGAGCAAATAAAAGAGAAACCCCCTCATTTTTCAAGGGTATGGGAATATGTTTCTTTTTTTCATTTTAATAATGGTACCAGATAGGATTCCCATTCTATTTTCTTAAAATATTTGAAACAGTGAGTAGACACTTCAACTTGAAGACACAGCTGTTCAGACGATTAGGCACAAAAGAAGCCCAACAATATTCTCAAAGTGAAATTGCAATTGTAATTATGTGAATGTTAGCTACTGGAATTATAAACATGGGGCCCCAGGAGGAAAACTGGGAAGCTGCCAACTTCATTTTCTGAAACTATTCACATATATCACAAAGAAACGTACACTTTTCACCCTGCTCTGCTTATTGGCATGCAAACCATCTCCTTGCTCTCTGTTTGAAGAGCTGTTCTTGCTTCTCTTGCTTCTTCTAGTCAAAGGTGGAAGTCAGGTGGCTGGAAGTTGCTTAAATGATTTCCTCTCATCTGCCCATAATGAACAGCTGCAGTAAATTGCCCAACATCATTTTGAATATGCATAAACCAATGAGCAGCTCAGATTTTTTAATGTAACTTTATATTCTTGGCTATTCCGGTGTTTGCATTGTTCATTTTTAAGTCATTTAAAAATTGATACAAATCAAATTATTGTTGCAGTTTTATACTAAAAAAAAGACTATTATTATTACAGGACCATTGAGATATGTTTTTAAAAAATTATTATTATACTTTAAGTTCTGGGATACATGTGCAGAACATGCAGGTTTTTTACATAGGTATACACGTGCCATGGTGGTTTGATGCACCCATCACCCCATCATCTACACTAGGTATTTCTCCTAATGCTATCCCTCCCCTAGTGCCCCAGCCCCCGACAGACCCCTGTGTGTGATGTTCCCCTCCTTGTGTCCGTGGGTTCTCATTGTTCAACTCCCACTTATGAGTGAGAACATGCAGTGTTTGGTTTTCTGTTCCTGTGTTAGTTTGCTAAGAATGATGGTTTCCAGCTTGATCCATGTCACTGCAAAGGACATGAACTCATCCTTTTTTATGGCTGCATAGTATTCCATGGTGTATATGTACCACGTTTTCTTTATCCGGTCTATCACTGATGGACATTTGGGATGGTTCCAAGTCTTTGCTATTGTGAACAGTGCTGCAATAAACATACATGTGCATGTGTCTTTATAGTAGAATGATTTATAATCCTTTGGGTGTATACCCAATAATGGAGTTGCTGGGTCAAATGGTACTTCTGGCTCTAGATCCTTGAGGAATCACCACACTGTCTTCCATAATGGTTGAACTAATGTACACTCCCACCAACAGTGTAAAACTGTTCCTATTACTCCACATCCTTTCCAGCATCAGTTGTTTCCTGACTTTTTAATGATCACCATTCTAACTAGTGTGAGATGGTATCTCATTGTGGTTTTGACTTGCATTTCTCTAGTGACCTGTGATGATGAGCTTTTTTTCATATGTTTGTTGGCCACATAAATGTCTTCTTTTGAGAAGTGTCTGTTCATATCCTTTGCATACTTTTTGATAAGTTATTTGTTTTTTTTTTCTTGTAAATTTGTTTAAGTTCCTTGTAGATTCTGGATATTAGCCCATTGCCAGATGGATAGATGCAACAATTTACTCCCATTCTATAGGTTGCCTGTTCACGCTGATGATAGTTTCTTTTGCTGTGCAGAAGTTCTTTAGTTTAATTAGATCCCATTTGTCAGTTTTGGCTTTTGTTGCAATTGCTTTTGGTGTTTTAGTCATGAAGTCTTTGCCCATGCCTATGTACTGAATGGTATTGCCTAGGTTTTCTTCTAGGGTTTTTATGGTTTTAGGTCTTATGTTTAAGTCTTCAATCCATCTTAAGTTGATTTTTGTATAAGGTGTAAGGAAGGGGTCCAGTTTCAGTTTTCTGCATATCGCTAGCCAGTTTTCTCAACACCATTTGTTAAATAGGGAATCCTTTCCCCATTGCTTTTTTTTGTCAGGTTTGTCAAAGATCAGATGGTTGTAGATGTGTGGAATTATTTCTGAGGCCTCTTTTCTGTTCTATTGGTCTATATCTCTGTTTTGGTACCAGTACCATGCTGTTTTGGTTACTGTAACCTTGTAATATAGTTTGAAATCAGGTAGCATGATGCCTCCAGCTTTGTCCTTTTTGCTTAGGATTGTCTTTGCTAGATGGGCTCTTTTTTGGGTTCCATATAAAATTTATAGTAGTTTTTTCTAATTCTGTGAAAAAAGTCGATGGTAGCTTGATGGGGATATCATTGAATCTATAAATTACATTGGGCAGGATGGCCATTTTCATGATATTGATTCTTCCTATCCATGAGCATAGAACGTTTTCCATTGGTTTGTGTCCTCTCAAATAATTTCCTTGAGCTCTGGTTTGTACTTCTCCTTGAAGAGGTCCTTCACATCCTTTGTAAGATGTATGCCTAGGTATTTTATTCTCTTTGTAGCAATTGTGAATGGGAGTTCACTCATGATTTGGCTCTCTGATTGTCTATTATTGGTGTGTAGCAATGCTTGTGATTTTTGCACATTGATTTTGTATCCTGAGACTTTGCTGAAGTTGCTTATCAGCTTAAGGAGATTTTGGGCTGAGACGATGGGGTTTTCTAGGTATACAATCATGTCATCTTCAAACAGGGACAATTTGACTTCTTCTCTTCCTATTTGAATACGCTTTATTTCTTTATCTTGCCTGATTGCCCTGGCCAGAACTCCCAATACTATGTTGAATAGGGGTGGTGAGAGAGGACATCCTTGTCTTGTGCTGTTTTTCAAAGGGAATGCTTCCAGCTTTTACCAATTCACTGTGATATTGGCTGTGGGTTTGCCATAAATAGCTCTTATTATTTTGAGGTACATTCCATCAATGCCTAGTTTATTGAGAGTTTTTAGCATGAAGCAGTGTTGAATTTTTTCGAAGGTCTTTTCTGCATCTATTGAGATAATCATCTGGTTTTTGTCATTGGTTTTGTTTATGTTATGGATTACATTTATTGATTTGTGTATGTTTTACCAGCCTTGCATCATTGATACAAAAGCTTAAACCAGGAAAAGTGTTCTGGGGGTGAGCAGTGAATTAGAATGCTGAAGAACTTGTCCTTTCTCATCACTGTTTCACTTGTGAACTTTAGTAAGTGGTTTCCTCTCTATTTCATCCTCTCTCAGATAGTAAGAATAGTGCTTATCATAACCATATCAATAGGGAAGTGTGAAAGACCTTGAAACTGTAGCATACTATCCACTTATAATTAGTGACAAGTGTGTTGAAAAGAAAGTACTGAATCTTAAAGACATAGACAAGATGGAAGCTGAATTCAAAAGATTGCCAGTTGGTCAGGGCCCCTTCTACTGCTGCATTTCATAATAGTAGCAGCTGTCTATTGACATTTATATTTTCCACAGTAAAAATGAAAGACAAGACTCTAATCATAGAAATAGTGTTTTTCTCTACACAGAATAAAAGACCATGCCAAAAGTTAAAGATATACAGACTTTATGAAATATTTAATTTCAAATTTTGGCTTTAGTTCTGAATCAAACTAAGTATGGAACTTCATATACCAAAGGGACTTTTTCCCCTAATAACAACTGCCTAACTACCATATGCTATATTAATACTGGGCAGTTAAAAATATAAAATCGAAAGCAAAACTATAATATCCTATAAGAGTATACTTATGACTTCCAGAAAAGATGAAATTATTCAACAAAATACAAAAGTGCAAACTGCAGAGGTAAAGTTTAAAATGCATTAAGATGACTGTCAGAAATTCTGATTTCTAACCATCAAAATCAATGAAAAAAAAACAAAAGAACTACACACTGAGAGATGATATTTTGTAATACACATAAGCAGCAAAGGATTAATCAATATCCAAAAATAAATAAAAAGAATCTTATAATTTGCAAGAGAAAGAATAACTCACTTGAAATAATAGGGAAAAATCTTAATAGGTACTTCACAGAAAGAAAATCTGAACAGCCAATAAAAGATGCTCAATCTAATAAATAATCAAGTAAATAAAAATGAAAACCACATTGAGAGATCATGTATAACTCACTATAGTGGGAAAAAAACAGTTTGTTAATATCTTGTGTTGTTGAGGATGAGGGTTAACCAGATCACTTATACAAGACTTCTCATGGATACAAAATAATATAACTACTCTGAAAAATAAATTGGCATAATCTATACACTCTTTTGTGTTTCTTTTTATTTTCTATAAATTAAGAAAAATATTTACTTTGTATTTCTGCATGAATTTATTTCAAGGTAACCAAATAAGTGATAAGGAAAAGTTTTTCTGTATAGAAGAATTCAAGCTAACAAATTCAGGATAAATGATAGAATTATAGAGTCACTATTATTCAACCCTTAGTAAAAATATTTAGGTAACTTTCAATAATAGATGCTAATAACATTGGGTGAAATTTTATGGGAAATCTTGTAATGAAGTAATTAGACTGACACTATCTGAACCTACTGGTTGAGCTCAGGAGATCTAAAATTGGGGCAATAGGCAGTATAGAGCATCACATATTAAAATTTCTTACTCAGAAAAAAATTATACTACATTTAATCAAATCAGTTTACAGGGAATAGAGGAATATGGATAGTAGAACAGACAGCATGATTTTACTGGAGCAGTAAAATCCAGAATGTGAGACATTTTAGGATAATGTTTTTAAGGACCTGGTTTCTCCAACAAATCAATAGCATAGAAGATAAAAAGAATGGCGGGGACTGTTGTAAAGGAAAAAAGATGCAAGAGGTCAAGATACAGTGTGAGAAAACATAATGTCACTTGAAATTTGGTCAAACCAACTATAAGAAATAGACAGTCAATGAAATGTTAATAAAGGTGAAAATAAAATGTGAAGTAGGTATCAGATGACATTAAGGAAAGTATTTTGTTAGGCATAATAATGTCAGGATGTTTTCTTTAAAAATGTTACAAGACAAAGATCTATGCTGAAGTGTTTGCAGATCAAATGAGATATCTTACATTTGCTTTAACAAAACAAAACTGTTAATATAATTAAGTGTTTTAATAAATTATTAGTTATAAGGGTGGCGATGGAAAACAAGAGGTCTAGGATAACATCTGGATTTTGCCTTTGGTTTCAAGGGTGGTGCCATTTGCCAAGACAGGTGACACAGAAGCAACAGGAGGCTTCAGAAATTAAAATGACTTTAATTTTGAACATGAGTTTTAAGAGTCACAAAGGGCTCGATTGAGTTTGGAAACTATAAATTATTGTAGCAGCCATCCACAGTTTTGTGAAATTTCCTAAAAGTTCCTTCAGCAGTACCCAGGGATGTAGCTACAAGTGCAGTGAAAAAAATGTCTGGATCAATCTACCTTGGAATGTTAGTAGGTCAGATACAACAAAAGACCAAAAAGACATGGGAAATGGGGATTGTTGCAAGAGAGAACTTAAATGATATGTTATCCTAGGTTGGATAGGAAAGTGCTAACTCCGTTAAAGTGATGATGGGAGCCGGGCACGGTGGCTCACACCTGTAATCCCAGCACTTTGAGAGACTGAGGCAGGTGGATCACCTGAGGTCAGGAGTTTGAAACCAGCCTGACCAATATGGCAAAATCCCGTCTCTACTGAAAATACAAAAATTAATCGGATGTGGTTGCGTGCTCCTGTTGTCCCAGCTACTCAGGAGGCTGCAACAAGAGAATTGCTTGAACCCAGGAGTCGGAGGTTGCAGTGAGCCCAGATTGCTCCATTGCACTCTAGCCTGGGTGACAGAGCACAACTCCATCTCAAAAAAAAAAAAAAAAAAAATGTTGCGGGAAGTCAGGAACCCTGAACGGAGGGACCGGCTGAAGCCATGTCAGAAGAACATAAATTGTGAAGATTTCATAGACATTTATTAGTTTCCCAAATTAATACTTTTATAATTTCTTACACCTGTCTTTACTGCAATCTCTGAACATAAATTGTGAAGATTTAATGGACAATTATCACTTCCCCAGTCAATACTCTTGTGATTTCCTATGCCTATCTTTACGTTAATCTCTTAATCTCATCATCTTCATAAGCTGAGGATGAATGTCGCCTCAGGACCCTGTGATAATTGCATTAACTGCACAAATTGTTTAAACGATATGAAATCTGGGCACCTTGAAAAAAGAACAGGACAACAGCAATGTTCAGGGAACAAGGGAGATAACCTTAAACTCTGGCTGCCTGTGGGCCAGGCAGAACAGAGCCATATTTCTCTTCTTTCAAAAGCAAATAGGAGAAATACTGCTGAATTCTTTTTCTCAGCAAGGAACATCCCTGAGAAAGAGAATGCGTCCCTAAGGGGAGGCCTCTGAAATGGCCGCTTTGGTGACAGCCGTCTTTTACAGTTGTGGATAAGGGATAAAATAAGCCCCAGTCTCCCATAGCGCTCTCAGGCTTATTAGGACGAGGAAATTCCCACTTAAAAAATTTTGGTCAGACTGGTTGTCTGCTCTCAAACCCTGTCTCCTGATAAGATGTTATCAATGACAATGCGTGCCCGAAACTTCATTAGCAATTTTAATTTCGCCCTGGTCCTGTGGTCCTGTGATCTCGCCCTGCCTCCATTTGCCTTGTGATATTTTATTACCTTGTGAAGCATGTGATCTCTGTGACCCACACCCTATTCGTACACTCCTTCCCCTTTTGAAAATCACTAATAAAAATTTGCTGGTTTTACGGCTCAGGGGGCATCACAGAACCAGCCGACGTGTGATGTCTCCCCTGGACACCCAGCTTTAAAATTTCTCTCTTTTGTACTCTGTCCCTTTATTTCTCAGACCAGGTGACACTTAAAGAAAATGGAAAAGAACCTATGTGAAATATTGGGTGTGAATTTCCCCCGAAAAAAAAAAAAAAGTGTTGATGGGTTAGGAAGTCTTCAGATAATATCAGTAAGGGTGGATAGAGGATAATAGGCATCTCAGGGGAGGTAAGTATTGTTATAATCATCAAATAATGATCTGAATACAGCAGTGGAGGGTTAAAGCAAAATGCTGCTACTTAATTTGGGGGTTCTATAGTTAAGTAAGAGGGAATAAAAAGTTTTAGCTTGCATGCTATTTAGAAGGGAGTAGAAGAACCCATCTGTGAATAGATTGGCAGTGTAGAGTAGATGCTAGGTGATAGATAAGGGTTCTAGAATAAAAGGCAATGGTCAGTAGCAAATAGAATGTAAGTGTGAAAGAATGGGTGTCCTGGAATAGGACAGAGATGAGAGAAATGAGAGTAAGCTGGTCAGGGGCCAGCACTTTGGCTGATGACCAAAGACAAGTGGAGGAAAACATGTTAGATGAGCTGCTCTTGAGCCTTATGGGCAGACCAAGTCCCAAGTGCTGCAAAAGCCTCATGAGATTAGCAAATTTTAGGTGCTACTTATCATTGAAAAGGAATGTCACTGGGAATTTACTTATCTTGTCTCTGAAGAATCCTTTTTCTCAGGCTGTTAAAGGAAAAAAAAAAACAACACATCAATGCTTATTCCTTATTTTACGATTTATTTTTATATTAATAATCAGTTGTATCAAATTCCTATTATATATACTTTGCCATTTTTAAAATTTTTTTATTATTATTTCTTAATTATAATTTAAGTTCTGGGATACATGTGCAAAATGTGCAGGTTTGTTACATACGTATACACGTGCCATGGTTGTTTGATGCACCCATCAACCCATCATCTACATTAGGTATTTCTCCTAATGCTATCCCTCCTTCCTAGTCCCCCACCCCCTGACAGGCACAGTGTTTGATGTTCCCCTCCCTGTGTCCATGTGTTCTCATTGTTCAACCCCCACTTATGAGTGAGAACATGTGGTGTTTGGTTTCCTGTTCCTGTGTTAGTTTGCAGAGAATGATGGTTTCCAGCTTCATCCATGTCCCTGCAAAGGACATGAACTCATCCTTTTTTATGGCTGCATAGTATTCCATGGTATATATGTGCCACATTTTCTTTATCCAGTCTATCATTGATGGACATTTGGGTTGGTTCCAAGTCTTTGCTATGGTGAACAGTGCTGCAATAGACATACGTGTGCATGTGTCCTTATAGTAGAATTATTTATAATCCTTTGGGCATATACCCAGTAATGGGATTGCTGGGCCAAATAGTGGTTCTGGTTCTAGATCCTTGAGGAATCGCCACACTGTCTTCCACAATGGTTGAACTAAGGTACACTCCCACCAACAGTGTAAAACCTTTCCTATTTCTCCACATTCTCTCCAGCATCCGTTGTTTACTGACGTTTTAATGATTGCGATTCTATCTGTGGTGAGATGGTATCTCACTGTGGTTTTGATTTGCATTTCTCTAATGACCTGTAATTATGAGTTTTTTTTCATATGTTTGTTGGCCGCATAATGTCTTCTTTTGAGAAGTGTCTGTTCATACCCTTTGCCCACTTTTTGATAAGTCGTTTGTTTTGTTCTCATAAATTTGTTTAAGTTCCTTGTAGATTCTGGATATTAGCCCTTTGTCAGATGAATAGATTGCAAAATTTTTCTCCCATCTGTAGGTTGCCTGTTCATGCTGATGACAGTTTCTTTTGCTGTGCAGAAGCTCTTTAGTTTAGTTAGATTCCCACCAGCAGGGCCCTGGGTTTCAAGCACAAAACTGGGCGGCTGTTTGGGCAGACACCAAGCTAGCTGGAGGAGTTTTTTTATACCCACTTGAAGAGGCAGTCTTAGCAGAGCTCGAGCACTATGCTGGGAGATCCATTGCTCTCTTCAGATCCAGCAGGCAGGAACGTTTGAGTCTGCTGAAGCTGCACCCATGGATGCCCCTTCTCCCAGATGCTCTCTCTCAGGGAGAGAGGATCTTTATCTATAAGCCCATGACTGGGGTTGCTGCCTTTCTTTCAGAGATGCCCTGCCCAGAGAGGAGGAATCTAGAGAGGCAGTGGCTTTACCAAGCTGCAGTGGGTTCCACCCAGTTCGAACTTCCTGGCAGCTTTGTTTACACTGTGAGTGGAAAACTGCCTACTCAAGCCTCAGTAATGGTGGATGCCCCTCTCCCCACCAAGCTCAAGCATCCCAGGTTGACTTTAGACTGCTGTGCTGGCAGCAAGAGTTTCAAGCCAGTGGATCTTAGCTTGCTGGGCTCCCTGGGGGTGGGATCGGCTGAACTAGACCACTTGGTTACCTGGTTCAGCCCCCTTTCCAGGGGAGTGAATGGTTCTGCCTGGCTGGTGTTCTAGGCACCACTGGGGTATGAAAAAAAACTCCTGCAGCTAGCTCTGTGTCTGCCCAAATGGCCACCTGGTTTTGTGCTTGAAACCCAGGGCCCTGGTGGTGTAGGCACCCAAGGGAATCTCTGTTCTGTGGATTGCGAAGACCTTGGGAAAAGCGTAGTTTCTGGGCCAGAATGCACCATTCCTCATGGCATGGTCCCTCGCAGCTTCCTTTGGCTAGGGGAGGGAGTTCTCTGACCCCTTGCACTTCCCGGGTGAGGCAACGCCTCATCCTGCTTCAGCTCACCCTCTGTGGGCTGCACACACTGTCTAATCAGTCTCAATGAGATGAGCTGGGTACCTCAGTTAGAAATGCAGAAATCACCTACCTTCTGCATTTGTCTTGCTGGGAACTGCAGACCGGAGCTGTTTCTATTTGGCCATCTTGCCAGCCACTGAGATATGTTTTAATTTATTTTCTGTATATTTTGGAAATTCCTAGCAACCTTTGGCAAAAGCTAGAGAAAATTTTCCTTTTCAAAGTTCCAAAAACATTTTATTTAGTCTCTTTTATGATTACTCCTCACAATAATTAATCCTATTTTGGGCTGTTGATGATAGTCATTTGCTCTTGTCAAATAATGTATTCCTTTCCACATTTTCTTCTCTATTGTTAGGACAGTACTAAAACTTTGTAACTTTTCATTAGTTTTCACTTTTTTTACTCAGTTCTTCTCTGTGTCCAGCTGTACATTTGTTGTATCCTTTAATGTTTTCAAAACATTTTAATTTTTCAAAATTATTCATTCTCTAGATGTGTCTTATTATTGTCTTAAATTTCCTCCTAAATTCTACTTTATTGCTTTTAGTCTAACTTGAGATATTTTCATATAATGTTTTTGAACAAAAGGAAAAAACATTGGTTATCATTTGCATTTAAGGTAATATGGTTTGGATCTGTGTACCCACCCAAATTACATGTTAAAATGTAATCCCCAGTGTTGGAAGCAGGGCCTAGGGTGAAGTGATTAGATTGTGGGAGTAGATTTTTCATGAATGGTTCAGTACAATCGCCTTGGTACTGTTCTCAGAATAGTGAGTGAGTCCTTGTGAGATCTGGTGGTTTAAAAGTATATGGCACCTCTTCTCTCTCCCCCTTGGTCCTGCTCCTGCCACGTGAGATGCCTGCTCCCTCTTTGCTTCCTGACATGATTGGAAGTTTCCTGAAGCCTCCCCAGAAGCAGAAACCACTATGCTTTCTGTACAGCCTGCAAAACTATAAGACAATTAAACTTCTTTTCTTTATAAAATCTCCAGTCTCATATGAGATATGTGAGGTTAGAATTGTCTGCTGTGGGTAAATTCATTGTTCTTTTCCAAAATTTACCTTAATAGGATTATTTCTATAGCATTTGACAGTATTCATCATTTACGTTTTTGTCTTTTTCAAACTCTCCCTCCTACCTTAGGCGTACTACTTCTCCATAGAAGCTTTCTGTTTCTCTGCTAGTCCCTTAACTATGTCTCAGAGTCTTATTCAGATTTGCCTATATTCCTTTCTCACTAAGCCTGCTCTACCTCTTCCTTTTTTCCATGTTTTCATCTCATGGTGAAGGCTCACAAATCTCTATCATTTTTGCTCTCTCCCCTCAACTCCAGAACCATATAATCAGATTCTACTGGAGATCGCCACTGGGTTCAAATACCATAACATTAGCTTGTCCATCCCAACCTGATCCCAGCCCGTGTATCCCCACCACTATTTGAAAAAGAAAAGAGTCAAGGATATCATCATTTGGATGCCACCTTCCTTCTCATCTTATGTCTTCCTTCTCATCCTATATCTCACAATACTCATCTAGTTCATCAAATTTAGCTTTTCAATACCTATAGCAGATTGACTCATTCAACATCATTTCCAACCCCCTTTGATCTTGCCTTCTTGTATGTTAGAAACTGGAAAATGATAAAACTATATATTTCCAGACTTTCTTGTAACTAAGTCTCTTCGTGTGACCTACATGCCACCAAATAGGGAAAAAAGCAGTAGTCACACTCACTGAATATCATAGCTCCTGCCAAAACTTAATGGTGGAGCTGTATGACTTTTTGTGGACTGCTAATGCAAAGTTTCTAGTATCATAGGTCCATAAGGATAAAGAATGATTAAACATTTCTCCTGACTGAGGTTTGTCTACCTCGATTTTCTTCAGGCTACATAGCATCCAAACTTGATGCTTTTGTTCACCTAAGGATCCTGTGAACATCTTCTATACCTTTCAGCTTAAACTCACTTGAATAGGTTTTGCTGTTTTTAACTGAAAATCCTGAAGAATACAATATGTCTCAAATTTATTTTAATTTTCCCATCACATAAGTCACTACCTTTGTTCAGCCATTCTTTATCCCCATAAGAAAAGTCATAGTGTTTGAATTATTTGTTTTTTTATGTTCTCTTTTCAATTTTATCTTTTATTGATCTACAAAGATGTACATATTCTCGGGTATTTGTGATAATTTAATATAGTCACATAATTTGTAAAGATCAAATCAGTGTAATTGTGATATTCATCATCTTAAATCTTTATCTTTTCTTTATGCTAGAAACTTTTGAATTATTTTCTGCCAGCTACTTTGAAATATACAACAGATTATTATAAACTATAGTCACAGTACTGATCTATGAAATACTAGGTCTTATTTCTTCTATCAAACTGTGTGTTGTATTCATTAATCAACCTCTCTTTATTCCCCTCACTTGCCCCTCAACCTTTCCTGTCCTCTGGTCACCACCAATCTACTGTCTTCCTTCATGAGACCCACTTTTTTTGTTCCCA
Organism: Homo sapiens; assembly: GCF_000001405.40. Taxonomy (NCBI): domain Eukaryota; kingdom Metazoa; phylum Chordata; class Mammalia; order Primates; family Hominidae; genus Homo; species Homo sapiens. The sequence goes on from NC_000004.12 coordinate 80,667,572, forward strand.
TATGTGAACATGCAATATTTGTCTTTTTGTATTTGGCTTATATCATGACTTCCAGTTCTATCCATGCTGCTACAAATGACAGGATTCATTCTTTTTTAGGCTGAATAATATTCTATTTGTATATATACAATTTCTTTATCCACTCATTCATTGATGGGCACTTAGGTTGATTCTATATTTTGGCTGTTGTGAATAGTGCTGCAATAAACATAGGAGTGTAGATAGCTCTTTGATATATTGATTTCCTTTATTTTTGATGTATACTCAGTAGTGTAATTGCTGAATCATATGGAAATTCTTTTTTTAATTTTTTTAGGAACCTCCATATAGTTTTCCATACTGGCTGCATTAATTTACACTCCCACCAACAATATATAAGGATTCCTCTTTTTCTACATTCTTGTCAGCATTCGTTGTTCCTGTCTTTTTGATAAAAGCCATTTTAACTGGGGTGAAATGATATCTCATTGTGGTTTTCATTCTCATTTCTCTGATTATTAGTGATGTTGAGCTTTTTATCTGTTGGCCCTCTGTATTTCGTCTTTTGGGAAATATCTATTCAGTTCTTTTGTTTGTTTTTAAATAAATTTTTTTTTTTGCTAATTGTTCAAGCTCCTTACATAGTCTGGTTATTAATTTCTTGTCAGATGGATAGGTTGTAAATATTTTCTCCCATTCTGTGGATTGTCTCTTCACTTTGTACATGTTTTCCCGCTGTGCAGAAGCTTTTTAGTTTGATATAATCCTGTTTGTCTATTGTTGCCTACTTTGCCTGTGCTTTTAATGTTTTGCACAAAAATTCATTTCCCAGACCAATATCCTGGAGCATTTCCCCAAAGTTTTTTGTTAGTAGTTTTACAATTTGAGATCTTAAGACTTCAGTCTGTAATCTATTTTGATTTAATTTTTGTGTGAAAGGTGAAGATCTAGTTTTATTCTTCTGTGTTGATTATCCAGTTTCTCCAGCTCCATTTATTAAAGAGACTGTTCATTCCCCATTGTTTGTTATTGGAAACTTTGTTGAAAATGAGTTGGCTGTAAATATGTGGATTTATTTCTGGGTTCTCTATTCCACTCCTTTAGTATATATGTCTGTTTTTAATGCCAGTATTAAGCTTATTTGGTTATTATAGCTTTGTAGAATATTTTGAATTCAAAGGATGTGATGCCTCCAGCTTTGTTCTTTTTGCTCAGGAAAAGACTTTGACTACTTACTTTGACTACTCGAAGTCTTCTGGGGTTCCATATAAATTTTAGGATTTTTTTCTACTTCTGTGAAGCATGACATTGTTTTTTTGATAGGGATTGCACTGAATCTATAAAGTGCTTTGGGTAGAATTGTCATTTTAACAATATTAATTCCTTAAATCCACAAACATGGAATATCTTTCCAATTTTTTTGTGTCTTCTTCAATTCCTTTCACCAGTGTTTTGTAGTTCTTCTTGTATGGCTCTTCCAATTCCTTGACTAAATCAGTTCCTAGGTATTTTATATTCTTTGTAGCTCTTGTAAATAAAATTACTTAATTTCTTTTTTCTTTTCTTTTCTTTTCTTTTCTGTCTTTCTTTCTTTCTTTCTTTTTTTTTTTTTTTTTTTTTTTTTTTTTGAGACTAAGTCTTACTCTGTTGGCCAGGCTGGAGTGCAATGGCATGATCTCAATTCAATGCAACCCCCACCTCCCAGGTTCAAGTGATTGTCGTCCTGTCTCAGCCTTCCAAGTAGCTGGCATGTGCCGTGCCTGGCTAATCTTTTGTAATTTTAGTAGAGATGGGGTTTCACCATGTTGGCCAGGCTGGTCTCGAACTCCTGCCCTGAAGTGATCCACCTGCTTAGACCTCCTAAAGTGCTAGGATTACAAGTGTGAGCCACCGTGCCTGGCCAGTTACTTGATTTCTTTTTCAGATTGTTTGCTATTGGCATATATAAATGCCACTGATTTTCATATATTGATTTTGTGTCTTGCAAATTTACTGAATTCATTTATCAGTTCTAACAGTTTTTCTTTTTTTTTTTTTTGGTAGAGTCTTTAGGTTTTTCTACGTATAAGATTATGTCATTTGCAAACAGGGCTAATTTGATTTTTTCCTTTTCAATTAGAATGTCCTTCATTTATTTGTCTTGCCTCACTGCTCTGGTGAGAACTTCTAATATTATGCTGAATATAAGTGGTGAAAGTGGGCAACCTTGTCTTGTTGCTGATCTTAGAGGAAAGGCTTTCCATTTTCCCCTCTTCAGTACAATGATAGCTGTGGGTTTATTGCCTTCATTATTTTGAGTTTCATTCCCTCCACTCCCAACTCATTAAGGGTTTTTTATTATAAAAAAACCCTTTTTTATTAGTCTTGCTAGCAGTCTGTCGATTTTGTTGTTATAAAAAAAAAACCCGTAGTGCGTCGTGAATTTTATGGAATTTTTTTTCATTTTTTAAAAATATACTTTAAGTTCTAGGGTACTTGTGCACAACGTGCAGGCTTGTTACATAGGTATACATGTGCCATGTTGGTTTGCTGAACCCATTAACTCGTCATTTACATTAGGTATTTCTCCTAATGCTATCCATCCTCTTGCCCCCCTCCCCATGACAGACCCCCATGTGTGATGTTCCCCGCCCTATGTCCAAGTGTTCTCATTGTTCAATTCCCACCTATGTATGAAAACATGCAGTGTTTGGTTTTCTATCCTTCTGGTAGTATGCTCAGAATGATGATTTCCAGGTTCACCCATGTCCCTGCAAAGGACATGAACTCATCCTTTTTTATGGCTGCATAGTATTCCATGGTGTACATGTGCCACAATTTCTTAAGCTAGCCTATCATTGATGGACATTTGGGTTGGTTTCAACTTTCTGCTATTGTGAATAGTGCCACAGTAAACATACGTGTGCATGTGTCTTTATAGTAGCATGATTTATAATCCTTTGGGTATATACCCCGTAATGGGATGGTTGGGTCAAATGGTATTTCTAGATCTAGATCCTTGAGGAATAGCCATGCTGTCTTCCACAATGGTTGAACTAGTGTACACTCCTACCAATAGTGTAAAGGCGGTCCTATTTCTCCACATCCTCTCCAGCATCTGTTGTTTCCTGAATTTTTAATGATCACCATTCTAACTGGTGTGAGATGGTATCTCATTGTGGTTTTGATTTGCATTTCTCTGATGACCAGTGATGATGAGCATTTTTTCATGTGTCTGTTGGCTGCATAAATGTCTTCTTTTGAGAAGTGTCTGTTCCTATCCTTTGCCCACTTTTTGATGCAGTTGTTTGTTTTCTTCTTGTAAATTTGTTTATGTTCTTTGTAGATTCTGGATATTAGCCCTTTGTCAGATGGGTAGATTGCAAAAATTTTCTCCCATTCTATAGGTTGCCTGTTCACTCTGATGGTAGTTTCTTTTGCTGAGCAGAAGCTCTTTAGTTTAATTAGATCGCATTTGTCTATTTTGGCTTTTGTTGCCATTGCTTTTGGTGTTTTAGTCATGAAGTCCTTGCCCATGCCTATGTCCTGAATGGTATTGCCTAGGTTTTCTTCTAGGGTTTTTATGGCTTTAGGTCTCACCTTTAAGTATTTAATCCATCTTGAATTAATTTTTGTATAAGGTGTAAGGAAAGGATCCAGTTTCATCTTTCTACATATGGCTAGCCAGTTTTCCCAGCACCATTTATTAAATAGGGAATCCTTTCCCCATTTTTTGTTTTTGTCAGGTTTGTCAAAGATCAAATGGTTGTAGATTCGTGGTGTTCTTTCTGAGGCCTCTGTTGTGTTCCATTGGTCTACATATCTGTTTTGGTACCAGTACCATGCTGTTTTGGTTACAAAAACTCTATTTGTAGTATAGTTTGAAGTCAGGTAGTGTGATGCCTCCAGCTTTGTTCTTTTTGCTTTGGATCGTCTTGGCAATGCGGGCTCTTTTGTGGTTCCGTATGAACTTTAAAGTAGTTTTTTTCCAGTTCTGTGAAGAAAGTTATTGGTAGCTTGATGGGGATGGCATTGAATCTATAAATTACCTTGGGCAGTATGGCCATTTTCATGATATTGATTCTTCCTATCCATGAGTATGGAGTGTTCTTCCATTTGTTTGTGTCCTCTTTTATTTTGTTGAGCAGTAGTTTGTAATTCTCCTTGAAGAAGTCCTTCATATCCCTTGTAAGTTGGATTCCTAGGTATTTTATACTCTTTGAAGCCACTGTGAATGGGAGTTCACTCATGATTTGGCTCTCTGTTTGTCTGTTTTTGGTGTATAGGAATGCTTGTGATTTTTGCACATTGATTTTGTATCCTGAGACTTTGCTGAAGTTGCTTATCAGCTTAAGGAGATTTTGGACTGAGATGATGGGGTTTTCTAAATATACAATCATGTCATCATGTCATCTGCACACAGGGACAATTTGACTTCCTCTTTTCCTAATTGAGTACCCTTTATTTCTTTCTCTTGCCTGATTGCCCTGGCCAGAACTTCCAACATTATGTTGAATAGGAGTGGTGAGAGAGGGCATCCCTGTCTTGTGCCAGTTTTCAAAGGGAATGCTTCCAGTTTTTGCCCATTCAGTATAATATTGGCTGTGGGTCTCTCATAAATAGCTCTTATGATTCTCAGATATGTTCCATCAATACCTAGTTTATTAAGAGTTTTTAGCATGAAGGGATGTTGAATTTTATCGAAGGTCTTTTCTGCATCTATTGAGATAATCATGTGGTTTTTGTCATTGGTTCTGTTTATGTGATGGATTAAGTTTACTGATTTGCATATGTTGAAGCAGCCTTGCATCCCAGGGATGAAGCCAACTTGATCGTGGTGGATAAGGTTTTTGATGTGCTGCTGGATTCGGTTTGCCAGTATTTTATGGAGGATTTTCACGTTGATGTTCATCAGGGATATTGGTCTAAAATTCTCTTTTTTTGTTGTGTCTCTGTCAGGCTTTCATATCAGGATGATACTGGCCTCATAAAATGAGTTAGGGAGGATTCCCTCTTTTTCTATTGGTGGGAATAGTTTCAGAAGGAATGGTACCAGCTCCTATTTGTACCTCTGGTAGAATTCAGCTGTGAATCCATCTGGTCTTGGAATTTTTTTGTTGGTTGGCTATTAATTATTGCCTCAATTTCAGAGCCTGTTATTGGTCTATTCAGAGATTCAACTTCTTCCTGGTTTACTCTTGGGAGGGTGTATGTGTCCAAGAATTTATCCATTTCTTCTAGATTTTCTAGTTTATTTGCATAGAGGTGTTTATAGTATTCTCTGAAGGCAGTTTGTATTTCTGTGGGATCAGTGGTGATATCCCCTTTGTCATTTTTTATTGCATGTATTTGATTCTTCTCTCTTTTCTTCTTTATTAGTCTTGTTAGTGGTCTATCAATTTTGTTGATCTTTTCAAAAAAAAAAAACAGCTCCTGGATTCATTGATTTTTTGAAGGGTTTTTTTGTGTCTCTATCTCCTTCAGTTCTGCTCTGATCTTAGTTATTTCTTGCCTTCTGCTAGCTTTTGAATGTGTTTGCTCTTGCTTCTCTAGTTCTTTTAATTGTGATATTAGGGTGTCGATTTTAGATCTTTCCTGCTTTCTCTTGTGGGCATTTAGTGCTATAAACTTCCCTCTACACACTGTTTTAAATGTGTCCCAGAGATTCTGGTACAGTGTGTCTTTGTTCTCATTGGTTTCAAATAACGTCTTTATTTCTGCCTTCATTTCGTTATTTACCCAGTAGTCACTCAGGAGCAGGTTGTTCAGTTTCCATGTAGTTGAGCGGTTTTGAGTGAGTTTCTTAATCCTGAGTTCTACTTTGATTGCACTGTGGTCTGAGAGACAGTTTGTTATAATTTCTGTTCTTTTACATTTGCTGAGGCATGCTTTACTTCCGACTATGTGGTCAGTTTGGGAATAAGTGTGATGTGGTGCTGAGAAGAATATATATTCTGTTGATTTGAGGTGGAGAGTTCTGTAGGTGTCTATTAGGTCTGCTTGGTGCGGAGCTGAGTTCAAGTCTGGATATCCTTATTAACCTTCTGTCTTGGTCTTGTTGATCTGTCTAATATTGACAGTGGGGTGTTAAAGTCTCCCATTATTATTGTGTGGGAGTCTAAGCCTCTTTGTAGGTCACTCAGGACTTGCTTTATGAATCTTGATGCTCCTGTATTGGGTGCATATATGTTTAGGATAGGTAGCTCTTCTTGTTGAATTGATCCCTTTACCATCATGTAATGGCCTTCTGTCTCTTTTGATCTTTGTTGGTTTAAAGTATGTTTTATCAGAGACTAGGATTGCAAACTCTGCCTTTTTTTTTTTTTTTTGCCTTTCATTTCCTTGGTAGATCTTCCTCCATCCCTTTCTTTTTAGCTTATGTGTGTCTTTGCACATGGGATGGGTCTCCTGAATATAGCACACTGATGTGTCTTGACTTTTATCCAATTTGCCAGTCTGTGTCTTTTAATTGGGGCATTTAGCCCATTTACATTTAAGGTTAATATTGTTATGTGTGAATTTGATCCTGTCATTATGATGTTAGCTGGTTATTTTGCCCGTTAGTTGATGCAGTTTCTTCCTAGCCTCGATGATCTTTACAATTTGGCATGTTTTTGCAGTGGCTGGTACTGGTGTTTACTTTTCATGTTTAGTGCTTCTTTCAGGAGCTCTTTTAGGGCAGGCCTGGTGGTGACAAAATCTCTCAGCATTTGCTTGTCTGTAAAGGATTTTATTTCCCCTTCACTTATGAAGCATGGTTTGGCTGGATATGAAATTCTGGGTTGAAAATTCTTTTCTTTAATAATGTTGAATATTGGCCCCCACTCTCTTCTGGCTTATAGAGTTTCTCCCAAGTGATCTGCTATTAGTCTGATGGTCTTCCCTTTGTGGGTAACCTGACCTTTCTCTCTGGCTGCCCTTAACATTTTTTCCCTCATTTCAACCTTGATGAATCTGACAATTATGTGTCTTGGGGTTGCTCTTCTCGAGGAGTATCTTTGTGGTGTTCTCCATATTTCCTGAATTTGAATGTTGGCGTGCCTTGCTAGGTTGCAGAAGTTCTCCTGGATAATATCCTGAAGAGTGTTTTCCAAATTGGTTCCATTCTCCCCGTCACTTTCACGTACACTGATCAAACGAAGATTTGGTCTTTTCACATTGTCCCATATTTCTTGGAGTTTTTTTCATTTCTTTTTACTCTTTTTTTCTCTAAACTTCTCCTCTTGCTTTATTTTATTAATTTTATATTCAATCATTGATACACATTATTCAACTTGATCGAATCGGCTATTGAAGCTTATGCATGCATCACGTAGTTCTCTTGCCATGTTTTCAGCTCCATCATGTCATTTAAGGTCTTTTCTACACTGTTTATTCTAGTTAGCCATTCATCTAATCTTTTTTCAAGGTTTTTAGCTTCCTTGCAATGTGTTTGAACATCCTCCTTTAGCTTGGAGAAGTTTGTTATTACCGACCTTCTGAAGCCTACTTCTATCAGCTCATCAAAGTCATTCTCCATCCAGCTTTGTTGCATTGCTGGTGAGGAGCTGTGATCCTTTGGACCAGAAGAGGTGCTTTGGTTTTTAGAATTTTCAGCTTTTCTCCTCTGATTTCTCCCCATCTTTGTGGTTTTATCTATCTTTGGTCTTTGATGCTGATGCCTACAGATGGGGTTTTGGTGTGGATGTCCTTTTTGTTGATGTTGCTGCTATTCCTTTCTGTTTGTTAGTTTTCCTTCTAAGTATCAGGTCCCTCAGCTGCAGGTCTGTTGGAGTTTGCTGGAGGTCTACTCCAGACCCTGTTTACCTGGGTATCACCAGTGGAGGCTGCAGAACAGCAAATATTGCAGAGCAGCAAATATTGCTGCCAGATCCTTCCTCTGGAAGCTTCCTCCCAGAGGGGCACCCACTTGTATGAGTTGGCCCCTTCTGGGAGGTGTCTCCCAGTTAGGTTACACAGGGATCAGTGACCCACTTGAGGAGGCAGTCTGTCCGTTCTCAGAGCTCAAATGCTGTGGTGGGAGAACCACTGCTCTCTTCAGAGCTGTCAGACAGGGACATTTAAGTCTGCAGAAGTTTCTGCTGCCTTTTGTTCAGCTATGCCCTGCCCCCAGAGGTGGGGTCTACAGAGGCAGCAGGTCTTGCAGAGCTGTAGTGGGCTGCACCCAGTTTGAGCTTCCCTATCCACTATGTTTACCCACTCAAGTCTCAGCAATGGCAGACACCCCTCACACTGCCAGGCTGCTGCCTTGCAGGTCAATCTCAGACTCCTGCACTAGCAGTGAGCAAGGCTCCACGGGTGTGGGACCTGCTGAGGCAGGCGCAGGATATAATCTCTTCATGTGTTGTTTGCTATGATCATTGGAAAAGCACAGTATGTGGGTGGGAGTGTCCCTATTTTCCAGGTACAGTCTGTCATGACTTCCCTTTGCTAGGAAAGGGAAATCCCCCAACCCCTTGTGCTTCTCAGGTGAGGCAATGCCCTGCCCTGCTTCAGCTCACCCTCCATGGGCTGCACCCACTGTCTGACCAGTCCCAATGAGATGAACCATACCTCAGTTGGAAATGCAGAAATCACTGTCTTCTGCATCAATCACACTGGGAGCTGCAGACCCAAGCTGTTCCTATTCGGCCATCTTGGAATGGAATCTTTTATGGGATTTTTATAGCATCTAATGAAATTATCATATTGTTTTTGTCCTTGGTTCTGTTAGTGTGATGTATCACATCTCAATTTTCATATTTTGAACCATCCTTGCATTTCTAGGATGAATTGCACTAAATCATAGTGAATGATCTTTTTAACATGTTGTATTTTTGAATTCAGTCTGCTATTATTTTGTTGAGGATTTTGTATCTATATTTATCAATGATAATGGCCTGTAGTTTTATTTTTGTTATATCCTTTTCTGGTTTTGATATCAGGATAATGCTGGCCTGGTAGAATAAGTTTAGAGGTATTCCCTCCTCTTCAATTTTTTTGAAAAGTTTGGTAGGATTGGTGTTAGTTCTTTAAATTTTTGGCAAACTCAACTACAAAGCTATCAGATTCTGGGCTTTTCTCTGAGGAAAGACTTTTTTATTATAGCTTCAATTTGATTACTCATTATTGGTTTGTTGATGTTTTCTACTTCTTCATGATTCAATCTCGGTAGGTTTTATGTGTCCAGGAATTTACTCATTTCTGCTAGGTTTTCCAATGTATTGGCACACAGTTGTTCATAATAGTCTATGGTGATTATTTGTATTTCTGTGGTCTAAGTTGTTATGTCTCCTTTTTTATTTCTGGTTTTATTTATTTGGGTCCTCTCTCTTCTTATGTTAGTATAGTTAGTTTGTTAATTTTATTTATCTTTTCAAAAAACCAACTTTTCATTTTGTTGATATTCTGTATTTTTTTAGTGTCAATTTTCTTTATTTCTGCTCTGAAGTTTATTACTTTTTTCCTTCTGCTAATTTGGGGTTTGGCTTGTTCTTGCTTTTCTAAATTCTTTGAGGTTCATCATTAGGTTGTTTATTTGAAGTTTTTCTGCTTTTTTGATGTAGGTGTTTATTGCTATAAACTTCCCTCTTAGCACTGCTCTTACTGTATCCCATAGATTTGGTATGTTGTATTTCCATTTTTCATTAGTTTCAAGAATATTTTAAAATTTTCTTCTTTATTTCTTCATTCACCCGTTGGTCATTGAAGAGCATGTTGTTTGATTTCCATGTGTTTGTGTATTTTCCAAAGTTCCTCTTGATATTGATTTCTTGTTTTATTATATTATGATCTGAAAACATACTTGATATGATTTATGCTTTTGACTGCATTATTTTCTGTTGTTTCTCCTACTTTCATACTCAGATGTGGGAAGTTTTTCATATTTACTAAGTTGTATGCAACAACATTTAATTGTGATTGCTATGTATTTTTGTGGGGATAATTAATAGGTGTGAGTGTGTGTTTACATAAAAATAATGTCATCTTTCCATAGCTAAAGCTTGAGATTTTATTTTTTCAAAGATGAAAGAAAAAAATATATCAGTCCCCAGTTTGTTCTCCTCCTCTCAAATCATATCATTATGATACAATAATATCATAAAAACTTCAAGAATTGGCATTGACGGAAAAAATAAAACAAATCTATATTTTTTCATAAATATCTAGTGCAAACTTATGAGGAAAGATATTCACTATTTTTTTACTTTAATTTTCCCACTTTTTTCACTGTTATCTCACAATGTAATGCCTTGCTAGTGGTTGTAAAGTTTATTTTATAGCAGACACAAGAGTTAACTTTTGTCTGAAATTCTTCATGTGTGGCATTAGTTTAGTCCAAAGTCTACATTTAAATAGATAAATTCCATTTATAAAAACTGCATTTCAAGCCAAAATTGTTTTCAGGGTATTTGACTGCAGTGTGCTGCTGAAAGCCAGTCTTCAGGGGATTCCTCCTTTTTCTTTCTGTCTTTTCTACTTGGGAAATCCCCATTTCAGTAAATAGTTACTATTTAAGGATTCTCTTATATTTCCTTTTTTAAATTTATCATCAATCTAGTTGTAATACATTAGTAGATGGTCTATTTTGGGTATTTAACCCTTGGGATATCTCTTCTATGAAATATCATTTTCTTCTTTTAACTTAGGTTTTAATTGTCTCCTCTTCTTCAAAATCCTGTCCGCTCTTCTCTGTCCTAAACAAATATGTTACCCTCCCCTCAACCTTCAAGCTACTACTCTGTTCTTTTTCTTTTATGGCAAAGAAATACCCGTTTAAATTTGCTTTCATTTTCTTCTTACTCTTCCTTCTTGCCAAAATGTGGCTTCTACTCTGAGCATTGTGCAGTAGATGTTTTTTCCATCACAAACTAGCTTCCTAGTTACCTAATAAAGTAAGAATTTACATTTATTGAATGCTTATTATGTGTCCAAAATGATGATGTTTTATATAAATTACCTTCTTTAGATCCTTACAATAACCTTATAATTATGTGCTATTATTAACTCTATTTTGTCTTTGAAATGACTGAGTCACAAAGAAGTTAAATAACTCACCCATTTTCACACACCTAATGAGTGGCTGAGTCAGAATTAAAATCCTGCTGCCATAACCACTCTGCATCATGCCTATTTCCTGGCAGTGTTCAATCTAATACAATTATTAGTATCATCCTCTTTAATCTCTCTGCTAATTCCTATACAGTTAAGCAATCCTTCATTCTTAATTTTTTTTCTTTTGAATTTGAAATAAGTATGGACTAGAGAAAGTTGCAAAAATAGTATTAATATGTAAAGTCCTATGTACCTTTCACCCAGTTTCCTCCATTGACAACATCTTGTATAAATGTACTCCAATATTAAAACTGGGATATTGAAATTGGTAATCTACTGGTAACTAGACTACAAACCTTGCTCAGTTTTCACAAGTTGCTACATGCATCCATTTGTTTTTCTGTGTTTGTATGAATTTTCTCCCACATGTAGATTTGTGTAGCCACCACTGTAATCCGTAACCATAAAAGAACTTCCTTGTGCTTTATATTTGACACTCCCTCACCCACTTCTCTTCCTGTCCTCTGTTAACCTCTAGGCTGCTCTTCATCTCTATAATTTTGTCATTTTGAGAATTATATACAAATAGGATTATACACTGTATAATATTTTGAAATGGACTTTTTTCAGTAAGCAAAATGACCTTGAGATTCATCTGGATTGCTTCATGTAGGAACGCTTTATTCCTTTACATTGATGAGTAGTATTCCATTGTGTCGTGGTTTCAAATTTTGTTTGCCCTTCAGTCAATGAAGGACATTTATGTTGTTACCAGGTTTTGTTTTGTTTTTTGCTATTACAAATAAAAATGCTATAATTATATGTGTTTATTTGTTTGCATGAACATAAATTTAATTTCTTAACATGAATGTCCAGGAGTGTGAATCCTATGTAGTATGGCAAGTGCACGTTTCATTTTATAAAAAGCGGCCAAACTATTTTCCAGAGTGTTTATACCATTTCACATTGCTACCAACAATGTATTAGATACAGTTAGTCCACATTCTTCCTAGTATTTAATATTATCACTTTTTTAAAAAAAATGGCTACTAATAGGTGTATAGTGATATCTTAAGGTGGTTTTAATTTTCATTTCCCTAATAGCAAATTTTGTAAAAAAATTTTCAAGTTCTTGTTTGCTATCTGAACTCCCATTTTAGTGAATAATCTGTGTGTGGGTTTTTTTTTTTTTTGCTTTGTTTTTTGTTTGCTTATTTTCGAATTGGATTTTTGCTACTTCACTGTTGAGTTTCGAGAGTTTTCATACATTGCATTTTCATACATTGTCAGATACGTGGTTTGCAAACATTTTCTCCCAGACTGTAACTTACTTTTTCATTCTCTTAACATATGTTTCATAGAGGAAAAGTTTTCAGTTTTGATGAGATCCAGTTTATGGGAACACCCCACATGTCATTCCTCAACTCCTGACTTTAGTCCTTATCCGTTCTGTCTTCTTTTTGACTTCCAGAGATTTTCTATATTTGTTATACTATTTCCAATGTATTTCAATTGTCAGGTGGTGATATAGGGAGGAATAGGTCTACTGCCTCTTCTCTGGAACCAGAAGTCAACTCTCATTTAAAAAAATTGCCGATCTTCACTGTCTGTTCTCTTTCTATCAAATCTTTAATTTAGACATCTTTCCAAGACCTATTCTAGTGCCTCTTAACCCCCTCCCTTTCATTGTCTACAGTTTCTTGACAGTAACAGTCAACCTCTGGACGAAATCTTAATTTCCATTTAAATAATTCCTCAGTTTCTCAGTTTATACTTCTAGCGTAAATCTCAGAACTTTATTTTCATATTTTCATTTGGATATCTTCTCCAAGGTTTTTTTATATATATTTTTATCTGGATATTTCCTTAGAACTTTGTTTTCATATTTTCATCTCGATACCTTCTCTAAAATAGCCCAACGACACATCAGATTAAATTATTTTGTAACAAGGGCAATATCTTGGAAATAACAATAAGCTTTTTTTCCTGCCTTCTAAGTAGAAGAGATGCTCATCTGCCTATTGGACAAAGATGGTTTCATAGAGGATGAGGAAAGACTGAAGAAAAAAAGAGCAACATTCTGATGTTCCACATGGGATTTTTACAGTAAAAACTTGAAACGTAAAGTTTGAGAAGAAAGAATTTTCTAAATTCCTTTAACCTTCATTTAGCATTATTAAGGCCCAGGCAAGGAAAACCTAATTGTGAAATCTCTCCCATAGTCCACCAGTCTACTATACACTCTCAGCCATGAAGTGAAATTCAAGAACAAGGTTATTAATTGAAGGATGTAAAAGAGAAGCCTGCCCCTTTTGGATCTAGGAGGTTATTGAAATGGGTTGCAGACTGCAGAAAGGAATGGAGAGCTCAGTGTCAAGGATCATGTTTTCAAGTCTCCTCTCTTCTCCTGGGCCAACCCTAAGGAGGTTGTATGGTAGCCTTGGAAGTATCTAGGGGCTTAGTGGAGGCAAGGCAAGGGAAGAAGGCTTTTAGTCTTCTTTTGAAGAACATTGTTCTCAGGTTGTGTCTGTACCAATTCAACTCTAAAATTTTATAAGAAGTGTAATATTTGTCAACTCAGCATGATAGTGTTTTAATCTGATCCCCCCACTAATCCTTGTAACTGTTATTGTTTTGAAAAATAGCCCCTCTCTCTATTGAATATGTACTATATGTATCCCCTCCTGTGACAGAGGAAATCTCATTGTGAATTCTGCATATGCATATGTCTGTTAATGTTCCATCCATTAGGAGATTGATGATGTGGAAGTTTAACGAAGGATGAAAGACAAGCTGTACCCAGGTGTGCAGAAAGGAATGAGTCAGGTACACAAGAGAAATCACTAGAAGTTAGTGCCAGAGGCAAAAAAAAAAACTGAGAAATCAATGAAGAAAAGAAGTTGGAAAGCCTGTAGAACTGCAAAGTTTGGGACTAAAATGCTGGGAACTTGGGCATGAGAGGACATTTCTACTTAGGCATCAGAACCAGAATTAGCTACCCACTTCTTTAGTTGCCCAGGAACCTAGAGATGAAGCAGCAGAAAGACAGAAATATTTCTAAAGTGTTAAAAGAAAAAAAGGAGAAGCATAAAAACAGAATCAAATTTGAAAAGAATGTAATGTGGCATAGGCTTAGCCAAAAGTAATTTAACAGATGGCAAAATGTATAAGATGCATAATGTGATCCTGAGCAGTGACTATCAAATATTCTGTAAAGTCTTCTAAGCCCATGAATACTTTGTGGGGAAACATTTTGATGTGTGGAAACTGGAGAAGGGCTATTTTTATGTCTACATTCATGTAGCATAAATCAAAGGCAGCCCTTGAGAATTCAAGATCTAGAGCACTGTAACCCACCAGAAATCTCTAGAACATTGGAGCAAGCCTTGGAAATTTACCACCTCAGGAGTTGGTAGAGAATGAGGATACAAGGTGTTATTGGGATACATGTGAAGAAGAAAGAGGAGCAATAGGCTTAATGAATGGGCTGGATTCAGTGGTATATACAGCAAAGATTCATTTTATTTTTCACCAAAAGTGTTTTCAGATTTATTCTGTGGGATCTGCCCGCTTTTTCTCTGGACAATATCATAGACATAGTTTTCTAATGTCATCATCCATAAAAATAGTTTTATGGTAATTCAAATTCATGCTCAGTACTTAAAAGCCCAGTGTGTTCTAAATCTAATCTTTAGTGTCATGTGCAACTATTATTATTAGATAAAGCCTCACTTTACCTTTGGGGAAGGGAGCTGTGATCTGTTTTGTTTACTTTTTACTCTTTTGAACCTACCTTCTCCCCTATCTGTTTTCTTGTTTGGGGGAAAGGGAAAAAATACTAAAGGAAGAGGAAACAACAGTCTTACGTGATTAATCATGCCTAGTATTCCATCAATTCAACCAACCCCTTTGGTTATAAATGGTGTCTAATAACAGCAGCTAAATTTTCTATCTAAAATTTTTCCAGCCCCTACTAAATGCTAAGCAGTGTACATTTTACATGCATACCACATTTTTTTTTTTTGTAACAACCTTACTCTTACTTCCATCACATAGATAAGGGAACAAGTACTTAAAAGGTTAAGTCTCTTTCCCCAAAGTCACATTTTTACTGCTTAGGTAGGCTAGATCTTACACCCTTTATTATAAGACCAAAGACTGCATTTAATGCCTATTCCTCTTAGATTTCACTTTTCAAGTTTCATTCTATCATTCTCACCCATTAGGCCTCCTTCCAGTCTTGTTTCTGTCATCCCACATATTAAAACTTCTTCCTAGCTCTTGAGACCTGCCATTCGATAATACCTCCAGTGACATCATCCTGATTATAGATAAAATGATGAACAGATTGGTACCAAGCACGGAACCCTGAGGTCTTTTTCCATGAAGCTTCCAATTTGCTATATCAATTCATCATTCAACATTCTGTAAGGGTCATTGATTAATTGATCATGTATTACCTCTCATTAATCCCATTTTTCTTCACCTGGTCCACAGATTTTGTTAAGTTCTTTCTGCTTTTCTTCTATAACACCTCTATCTCCAAGATAAGAATGAATTTACTATTCCATGGACTGATGTGGTGATGGTGGTGGGAAGGGGAAAGTTATGCAGAATACAATGTAAATGTGAATTCTTTATAAATAATTATTGATTTGCAAAGCTCTAAAACATCTCAGAAGGCATCCCCATACGTTCTCCTCTGTACAGGTGGGTTAATTAATTTATTCAGTTCTTAAATCTCTAAAGGTTCTTATGCTTCTTGTTAACAAAATCTAGTGCCAGATATGTGAATTTTCATAATGTCAAAAGTTCTGCATAAGTTCCTTTTGGTTATTTAATCTAATATTTTCTTATTCTGTCATTTCCAAGGGATGTTTAACAGGGGAGTCTGATATTTATTTTATAACATAAAACTTACAAGTATACCTGGAAAATATCTATCTTCTTTCACTAACCTATTATGGATCCATTGATGACAAATTTAATAAAATATCTCTTGCACATATTTATTTTTTAGTTTAACTCTTTAAGTTGGTGTGTTCCATATGTTTACTACTTAACTGCTCAAAGTAAGTCTCTTGTAACCCTTTGATAATGCTAGTTTTTGAAAATAGGAATAGCACATACCTTGGAAATAAGTAAACTTATACATGTTTTAATGGTGTATGGTTTTTGTGTTTCTGGAGATATAATTGGATTTGAGATATAACAACGTTTATGAAATATTTATCAAGCATGTACTATTTACACAGTACCTTATCCACAGCAGATGCCTAAAAAATATTTGTTTAAAAATGCTTACGTGTTATCAAAGCAATCTAGTGCATTTCATTTTCTCTATTATGAACCTTTGTTGAGTTTGAGTGTACATTTCTTCTAATATCTTATTATTTGGCAGATAATTCCATTTCTAAAACTTTCAGGATCTTATAGACTTCAATTCTGTATATTTAAAATTGTACTTTCTAAACTGAAGTTCTGTTGACTCCAGTATAGTTTTACATGAGAGATAAGCCTATTCTTGCCTATTACAGTTGTCCATATCTAAATTTTTGCCAAAGCGATTATGTTCTTTCTGTTATACAATAATTAATTGGGATGTAAGCTTTCAGGTGTATGTGACCATTGCTCTTTGTTTAAGAACATCTTAAGACTTTTTCTGTTCGTTTTTATTTCTGTTATTAACTCTAAGATGACTTCTTTTTTTTGGGGGGGGGGGACGGAGCCTCACTTTGTTGCCCAGGCTGAGTGCAGTGGTGCGATCTTGGCTCACTGCAAGCTCCGCCTCCCAGGTTCACACCATTCTCCTGCCTCAGCCTCCTGAGTAGCCGGGACTATAGGCGCCTGCTACCACGCCCGACTAATTTTTTGTATTTTTTTAGTAGAGACGGGGTTTCACCGCGTTAGCCAGGATGGTTTCGATCTCCTGACCTCGTGATCCACCCGCCTCGGCCTCCCAAAGTGCTGCTGGGATTACAGGCGTGAGCCACTGCGCCCGGCCTGAGATGACTATTTTAAGAAATATTTCTACCTATTAAACACTGGTTTAATGCATTAGAATCAAAGAGTCATTATAGTATCTAAACTAGACCTCATCTGTTCTAAAATCTTTTTTTTGTTGTTGTTGTTCTTTAATGAATGGATACAGTTTAACCACTATTTGCCAGAAATACTAATCATTTACATCATTAAAAATTCACATTACAGTCACTGTCATGCTTTTTTTTTCAGAGTAAATTAATGTACATCTTTCTGTATATTCTCAAGCCTACTTATACAGTCTCAAAATGATGTATCTCTGTTTGTTAAGCCCAGGTGCTTCAGATATATGTGTATATTATGTTTGTCCCCAATTTAAAGACTAACAAATTTTTAAAACTTAGAAAGGAAAAATAGTAAACTTCATATAAACGGTACAATAATGTATGTATTATTTTCTGTAATTACATATAATTTAAATATATTAGAAAATCATTGAAAATTTGGATCTGGATGCTGCTTTATCAAGACAACAAACAGGAAACTTATTCTTAAAATCAGAATTAAATACTCTATGCAATGCTATCATCCTTTAACAATTTTCAGACAAAAGAGACTCTTGGGCTGGCCCCACACATGCACCTAACATTTCTCTGGAGTTTTCATTACTTATTCTAAGAAGCTCTTGTTCAGTGAATATATTTTTTGGCTGTTATTAAATTTGGGTTACTAGTTTCTCAGGTTTGCTTTGAGATCTCTGAGGGAAAAATCCAGGGCTTCAACATTAGCTACCCAATGCAGAATGTCTGGTTTCAAAACAATGCACAGGGAAATGTGACCCTGTGCTTGGGAACTGAAACCTTGCCAATTGCACTGAAGTGTTACATTCATTATGTCATACCACACACATCTGATAAGGGAAGACATAATGCTGTTGGATAGGTTCTTGTATACAAAAACTCTATAGGTCAAGTAAAGAGCTGTTTTTCATTTAATAACTGAACTATGCAGGTGCTAATTTAGACCATATGCAGGACAATGCAGAAATATGTTACTCCACAGTGGAATGGTTGTGTGTGGGGTGGGGGGTGGGTGAGAGAGAGCAAATTGGTATTAAAGGGAATTTTTTGATTAATTAAGGTGCCTGTGCTCTGGTTAGTTTAAACCAGGGAGTTCAATTGACATAACTTTGTAAAAAATAAGCTTGCAGAAAACTGTCATAATGCTGAATTTTTTTTCCTGTTCCTTCTCTTCACACACCCTGACTTTTTGAAGGTCCCCATGGACCAGTTCATTTGAGAGAAACATATTGGACACTGGGAAAGGCCAAATTAGGGCTGAGGCAGAAATTGATTCCCTCATTAAATATGCCTGCCATGGGATCTACATAGTGTATCTGGCACAAGTAATACAGAATGATTCAGGTTCTTAATATATTTCATCTTCTTGTGGGAACTAAGTTAGAAAAAGAACCCCAGATGTAAGATGCTAAGAACGATTTTCACAGTTTAATTGAAAATTTACACTGACCAACCAAGTATAGCATACATGTTGAAGATTAAATAAATCCATGGGAACTTTAATGAAAAAAAAAAATTAATGCTATTGGAATCAAACCCTAAAAGAACTCCTTAGATTGTTACCCTAATAGTGAAATAAACATTGCATAACCTTCTACTCATGAGTGGCAATTGCTCATGAATTCTGTCTGGCCATTCCCACACCAAAGAGATGCTATTATTTCTTGACTTATGTCTATGATGAAAAGAGGGCTTAGAGAGCAGAAGAAGGGAGGAGCCTTTGGCTCAGAGAGTGTCAGGCCACTTGGTGGATTATGCTTCTCTAGATTTCTGTGCTTTCTTTTGCCTCTTTTTTGAGGCTATGTTATAAAAATACTTTCATATGTGTTGCAAGTGTTACTCTCTGACTTCTTCAAAACATCAGGAGAACTAAACAAATCTTCCATTTATTATATTTATACAAATCCTACTGAATATAGAAATGCTGCCCGAGTTCTCATAATTTCATGCTTTTACCGCTGTTAATCAACTGTGGGGTTCACAGTATAGTGGCAGGAAATGAATGCAGCACCAAATTCCAAGGAGCCAGAAGATTTTGGTAGAAGATAATTATTAATCTTTCTTTGGTGCTTAACCAGGAGGATGGCCTTTCTTGAGCGTAGATTTCTCTTGTGATGTGAAGCAGCTGTCTTGCAGAATGAAAATATGGACAAATTCCTGCCAAAGATGCCTATGAAAACTACAGCACAGTGATTTGGTGGCATGTGCGTGGTATAACATTTCTGTTCCTTCCTTTACACTTCCAGCTGAAACCTCCTGACTGATGAGTCTTATATACCTGTTCCTACATTCCTATAGCTTTCAAATTAGATGTATTCCCTCTAATATACCCATATATGTCAGTCTTATAAATTCCAACGGCAAATACTTTGCAAATGTTACTCTTCTTCCTTAGAAAACATTTTTGCCTGTTAAACAAAACCTGAACCCCAGCTAGACATTCAAGTCATTCCAACATCTGGCCCAACTTACCAGCCAACTTTCTCTCCTACTGATCTCCAATATGAATCTCCACTCAAGCCAGTACATCCCATCACAAGACTTCTTGCCTCTAACCTGAGCTCTCTCAATTCAACTTCCCTGGAATGTGCTTCTCTCTTCTTTCTGTTTATTAAATCCCCATATTTCACACTCCCGTGTCACACCCCAGCTCTACCACTCGTGATCTCCTCAGCCTTAGAACTCTTGAAGTTTTTTTTTATAGTATCTCAGAATTTCATACCTAATAGGAGCTTTGTAAATGATCCATCTTAATGTCCTCATTTTATAAATAAGAAAACTGAGACCTATGGAAGATAAAATTACTAGCTAAAATTGCAATTGTAGAAAATTTTAAGGATAAACTGAGGGAGAATTTCAACTGAGGTGAGCCATTGCAGTTGTAAATTCTTTGAGATCAGGGTTTGAGTCTTGTATCCAACACTGAAAAAGCATGTACATGCTTTGTAAATAATTTGTTGATTACATCCTGATCAGATTGACATGATAGAATTTAGTGACCATTTTTATTCATCTGAAGGCTGTCTAAAACACAGAGCAGGGCATTCTGGAGGGAGGAGGCAAGATGGCCGAATAGGAACAGCTCCGGTCTACAGCTCCCAGCGTGAGCGACGCAGAAGACAGGTGATTTCTGCATTTCCATCTGAGGTACCGGGTTCATCTCACTAGGGAGTGTCAGACAGTGGGCGCAGGTCAGTGGGTGCGCGCACCGTGCGCAAGCCGAAGCAGGGCGAGGCATTGCCTCACTGGGGAAGCACAGGGGGGTCAGGGAGTTCCCTTTCATAGTCAAAGAAAGGGGTGACAGACGGCACCTGGAAGAAAGGGTCACTCCCACCCGAATACTGCGCTTTTCCGAAGGGCTTAAAAAACGGCGCACCAGGAGATTGTGTCCCGCACCTGGCTCGGAGGGTCCTACACCCACGGAGTCTCGCTGATTGGTAGCACAGCAGTCTGAGATCAAACTGCAAGACGGCAGCGAGGCTGGGGGAGGGGCGCCCGCCATTGCCCAGGCTTGCTTAGGTAAACAAAGCAGCCGGGAAGCTCGAACAGAGTGGAACCCACCACAGCTCAAGGAGGCCTGCCTGCCTCTGTAGGCTCCACCTCTGGGGGCAGGGCACAGACAAACAAAAAGACAGCAGTAACCTCTGCAGACTTAAGTGTCCCTGTCTGACAGCTTTGAAGAGAGCAGTGGTTCTCCCAGCATGCAGCTGGAGATCTGAGAACGGGCAGAATGCCTCCTCAAGTGGGTCCCTGACCCCTGACCCATGAGCAGCCTAACTGGGAGGCACCCCCCAGCAGGGGCACACTGACACCTCACACAGCCGGCCGGGTACTCCAACAGACCTGCACCTGAGGGTCCTGTCTGTTAGAAGGAAAACTAACAAACAGAAAGGACATCCACAGCAAAAACCCATCTGTACATCACCATCATCAAAGACAAAAGTAGATAAAACCACAAAGATGGGGAAAAAACAGAGCAGAAAAACTGGAAACTCTAAAAAGCACAGCACCTATCCTCCTCCAAAGGAACGCAGTTCCTCACCAGCAACGGAACAAAGCTGGACGGAGAATGACTTTGAGAAGCTGAGAGAAGAAGGCTTCAGATGATCAAATTACTCCGAGCTACGGGAGGACATTCAAACCAAAGGCAAAGAAGTTGAAAACTTTGAAAAAAATTTAGAAGAATGTATAACTAGAATAACCAATACAGAGAAGTGCTTAAAGGAGCTGATGGAGCTGAAAACCAAGGCTCGAGAACTACGTGAAGAATGCAGAAGCCTCAGGAGCCGATGCGATCAACTGGAAGAAAGGGTATCAGCGATGGAAGATGAAATGAATGAAATGAAGCGAGAAGGGAAGTTTAGAGAAAAAAGATAAAAAGAAACGAGCAAAGCCTCCAAGAAATATGGGACTATGTGAAAAGACCAAATATACGTCTGATTGGTGTACCTGAAAGTGACGGGGAGAATGGAACCAAGTTGGAAAGCACTCTGCAGGATATTATCCAGGAGAACTTCCCCAATCTAGCAAGGCAGGCCAACATTCAGATTCAGGAAATACAGAGAACTCCACAAAGATACTCCTCGAGAAGAGCAACTCCAAGACACATAATTGTCAGATTCACCAACGTTGAAATGAAGGAAAAAATGTTAAGGGCAGCCAGAGAGAAAGGTCGGGTTACCCTCAAAGGGAAGCCCATCAGACTAACAGCGGATCTCTCGGCAGAAACTCTACAAGCCAGAACAGAGTGGGGGCCAATATTCAACATTCTCAAAGAAAAGAATTTTCAACACAGAATTTCATATCCAGCCAAACTAAGCTTCAAAAGTGAAGGAGAAATAAAATACTTTACAGACAAGCAAATGCTGAGAGATTTTGTCACCACCAGGCCTGCCCTACAAGAGCTCCTGAAGGAAGTGCTAAACATGGAAAGGAACAACTGGTACCAGCCGATGCAAAATCATGCCAAATTGTAAAGATCATTGAGACTAGGCAGAAACTGCATCAACTAACGAGCAAAATAACCAGCTAACATCATAATGACAGGATCAAATTCACACATAACAATATTAACTTTAAATGTAAATGGACTAAATGCTCCAATTAAAAGACATAGACTGGCAAATTGGATAAGGAGTCAAGACCCATCAGTGTGCTGTATTCAGGAAACCCATCTCACATGCAGAGACACACATAGGCTCAAAATAAAAGGATGGAGGAAGGTCGACCAAGCAAATGGAAAACAAAAAAAGGCAGGGGTTGCAATCCTAGTCTCTGATAAAACAGACTTTAAACCAACAAAGATCAAAAGAGACAAAGAAGGCCATTACATAATGGTAAAGGGATCAATTCAACAAGAAGAGCTAACTATCCTAAATATATATGCACCCAACACAGGAGCACCCAGATTCATAAAGCAAGTCCTGAGTGACCTACAAAGAGACTTAGACTCCCACACATTAATAATGGGAGACTTTAACACCCCACTGTCAACATTAGGCAGATCAACGAGACAGAAAATCAACAAGGATACCCAGGTATTGAACTCAGCTCTGCACCAAGCAGATCTAATAGACATCTACAGAACTCTCCACCCCAAATCAACAGAATATACATTTTTTTCAGCACCACACCACACCTATTCCAAAATTGACCACATACTTGGAAGTAAAGCTCTCCTCAGCAAATGTAAAAGAACAGAAATTATAACAAACTATCTCTCAGACCACAGTGAAATCAAACTAGAACTCAGGATTAAGAAACTCACTCAAAACCACTCAACTATAGGGAAACTGAACAACCTGCTCCTGAGTGACTACTGGGTACATAACGAAATGAAGGCAGAAATAAAGATGTTCTTTGAAACCAACGAGAACAAAGACACAACATACCAGAATCTCTGGGACGCATTCAAAGCAGTGTGTAGAGGGAAATTTATAGCACTACATGCCCACAAGAGAAAGCAGGAAAGATCCAAAATTGACACCCTAACATCACAATTAAAAGAACTAGAAAAGCAAGAACAAACACATTCAAAAGCTAACAGAAGGCAAGAAATAACTAAAATCAGAGCAGAACTGAAAGAAATAGAGACACAAAAAACCCTTCAAAAAATTAATGAATCCAGGAGCTGGTTTTTTGAAAGGATCAACAAAATTGATAGACCGCTAGCAAGACTAATAAAGAAGAAAAGAGAGAAGAATCAAATAGACGCAATAAAAATGATAAAGGGGATATCACCACTGATCCCACAGAAATACAAACTACCATCAGAGAATACTACAAACACCTCTATGCAAATAAACTAGAAAATCTAGAAGAAATGGATAAATTCCTTGACACATACACTATCCCAAGACTAAACCAGGAAGAAGTTGAATCTCTGAATAGACCAATAACAGGCTCTGAAATTGTGGCAATAATCAATAGCTTACCAACCAAAAAGAGTCCAGGACCAGATGGATTCACAGCCGAATTCTACCAGAGGTACAAGGAGGAACAGGTACCATTCCTTCTGAAACTATTCCAATCAATAGAAAAAGAGGGAATCCTCCCTAACTCATTTTATGAGGCCAGCATCATCCTGATACCAAAGCTGGGCAGAGACACAACCAAAAAAGAGAATTTTAGACCAATATCCTTGATGAACATTGATGCAAAAATCCTCAATAAAATACTGGCAAACCGAATCCAGCAGCACATCAAAAAGCTTATCCACCATGATCAAGTGGGCTTCATCCCTGGGATGCAAGGCTGGTTCAATATATGCAAATCAATAAATGTAATCCAGCATATAAACAGAACCAAAGACAAAAACCACATGATTATCTCAATAGATGCAGAAAAGGCCTTTGACAAAATTCAGCAATGCTTCATGCTAAAAACTCTCAATAAATTAGGTATTGATGGGACGTATTTCAAAATAATAGGAGCTATCTATGACAAACCCACAGCCAATATCATACTGAATGGGCAAAAACTGGAAGCATTCCCTTTGAAAACTGGCACAAGACAGGGATGCCCTCTCTCACCACTCCTATTCAACATAGTGTTGGAAGTTCTGGCCAGGGCAATCAGGCAGGAGAAGGAAATAAAGGGTATTCAATTAGGAAAAGAGGAAGTCAAATTGTCCCTGTTTGCAGTTGACATGATTGTATATCTAGAAAACCCCATTGTCTCAGCCCAAAATCTCTTTAAGCTGATAAGCAAATTCAGCAAAGTCTCAGGATACAAAATCAATGTACAAAAATCACAATCATTCTTATACACCAACAACAGACAAACAGAGAGCCAAATCATGAGTGAACTTCCATTCACAATTGCTTCAAAGAGAATAAAATACCTAGGAATCCAACTTACAAGGGATGTGAAGGACCTCTTCAAGGAGAACTACAAACCACTGCTCAAGGAAATAAAAGAGGATACAAACAAATGGAAGAGCATTCTATGCTCATAGGTAGGAAGAATCAATATCATGAAAATGGCCATACTGCCCAAGATAATTTACAGATTCAATGCCATCCCCATCAAGCTACCAAGGACTTTCTTCACAGAATTGGGAAAAACTACCTTAAAGTTTATATGGCACCAAAAAAGAGCCCGCATCACCAAGTCAATCCTGAGCCAAAAGAACAAAGCTGGAGGCATCACACTACCTGACTTCAAACTATACTACAAGGCTACAGTAACCAAAACAGCATGGTACTGGTACCAAAACAGAGATATAGATCAATGGAACAGAACAGAGCCCTCAGAAATAACGCCACATATCTACAACTATCTGATCTTTGAGAAACCTGAGAAAAGCAAGCAATGGGGAAAGGATTCCCTATTTAATAAATGGTGCTGGGAAAACTGGCTAGCCATATGTAGAAAGCTGAAATTGGATCCCTTCCTTACACCTTATACAAAAATCAATTCAAGATGGATTAAAGACTTAAACGTTAGACCTAAAACCATAAAAAACCCTAGAAGAAAACCTAGGCATTACCATTCAGGACATAGGCATGGGCAAGGACTTCATGTCTAAAACACCAAAAGCAATGGCAACCAAAGACAAAATTGACAAATGGGATCTAATTAAACTAAAGAGCTTCTGCACAGCAAAAGAAACTACCATCAGAGTGAACAGGCAACCAACAAAATGGGAGAAAATTTTCGCAACCTACTCATCTGACAAAGGGCTGATATCCAGAATCTATAATGAACTCAAACAAATTTACAAGAAAAAAACAAACAACCCCATCAAAAAGTGGGTGAAGGACATGAACAGACGCTTCTCAAAAGAAGACATTTATGCAGCCAAAAAACACATGAAAAAATGCTCACCATCACTGGCCATCAGAGAAATGCAAATCAAATCCACAATGAGATACCATCTCACACGAGTTAGAATGGCAATCATTAAAAAGTCAGGAAACAACAGGTGCTGGACAGGATGTGGAAAATAGGAACACTTTTACACTGTTGGTGGGACTGTAAACTAGTTCAACCACTGTGGAAGTCAGTGTGGGCGATTCCTCAGGGATCTAGAACTAGAAATACCATTTGACCCAGCCATCCCATTACTGGGTATATACCCAAAGGACTATAAATCATGCTTCTATAAAGACACATGTACACGTATGTTTATTGTGGCATTATTCACAATAGCAAAGACTTGGAACCAACCCAAATGTCCAACAATGATAGACTGGATTAAGAAAATGTGGCACATATACACCATGGAATACTATGCAGCCATAAAAAATGATGAGTTTATGTCCTTTGTAGGGACATGGATGAAATTGGAAATCATCATTCTCAGTAAACTATCGCAAGAACAAAAAACCAAACACCGCATATTCTCACTCATAGGTGGGAACTGAACAATGAGAACACATGGACACAGGAAGGGGAACATCACACTCTGGGGACTGTGGTGGGGTGGGGGAGGGGGGAGGGATAGCATTGGGAGATATACCTAATGCTAGATTACGAATTAGTGGGTGCACCAGCATGGCACATGTATACATATGTAACTAACCTGCACATTGTGCACATGTACCCTAAAACTTAAAGTATAATAATAATTTAAAAAAAAAAAAGAAAGAACTGGCATTCTAAAGCAGTACTGAGTGATCTAAGCGTGGCTTGGTCAGAGAAAGAGGGAATACCCAGTTAATGTGAAGAATCTCCAGTATATAATTTGAATATTAAAGCAATGTCATCTGTTAATAAAAAAAAAAACACAGAGCATTAGCTTCCATCATTAGAAATTTTGCAATAAAAATTTGTAAAATTTATTCATTAAACTCAGTAGATTATTGCCCTTATGACTTTCATAAAAAGCCAAATGTAGTCACTGAGGAAATCATTCCTATGATTTCCCTATTGTTTATATGCAAAGATTGTGAAAAATCTTCTCTTTGTAAAATTATTATGTGTAAAATTGCCACTACCCTAAAACCTTTGGTGTTTCTGGCTTACAATTTAATATTGGAAATACAACAGTTGATTTCTGAAAGTCACATGTGCAGTGCATTCTTTGGAATCTTCTTTGTTTGATCACCGTTGAACAACACATGAAGCTTTGTATTTTTTCACCTGAATAAATAGTACCCTGCATTTCACCCTTTGAGGTCAGTACATACGTCTCACAAGACAGGCGTTCATCAGCTCTTTTCCTGCCAATTCTAAAGAAAAGCAAAAGCTCAACACCCATGCCACCTGACTGAGAGTGGAGTCTATGTTTTATGTTCTTATTCTGCAAGGCCAAATGCTGGTCACCACTAGTTAAATAGGGTAATGTTTTCTCAGTAAGAAAGAACAATGCATATCTATATTATGCTCTCAACTTTGATGACTAACATAGTTTCAAAGAAGATGACTTAACAAATACTCTGAGTATTTAAGCTTCATGATAATATGCAGTAACAGGTATGCAGAAGAGTTGCCAATGTCTGTGTAGTGTTTATGAATTCAGTTGTTATTTGCTAGAATAAAATGGTATTTAATTGATATCTTGAATTCTAACTTGGTAATAGCTCTCTTTCAAATGTTTCAGCTTTCAATAGGAATAATTGTATTTAATTATCTTTAAATGTCAATTGTGGGTTAGAAGCATATTTTCAATTCTTAGGATGTTTCAAATTATTTACAGAATGAATTAAGGTGAAATTGCTAGTTTGTTTTTGATGTGTATTGAATTTTACACTTTGAAAAAATTACTGTGATTGAATTGTGCAGAATGAATATATTATAAATTTGAGAATTCAAAACAGAAATAAAAGCCTCATTTACATGGCTTAGATGATTCTCCATAACCTGAATTTTTGTTAGATGCAGGAGCCAGATTTTTGGGGATAAAGTTGTGCTAGCAGTGACCAAATCATTAGGGTTTTCTAACAAACCCTTTACACTCTGGTATTTTGGTATGCCTCATAGTAGCATCATTTTAAAAAATGAAGTAGGTATGAAAGCCAAGATAATACAAATATATGGATGGTTTCCATATTTGGGGACAGGATAGTATTTATAGTATTTCTATATTAAGTCCACATCTCATCCTTCATTTGGATAAAGATTTGATACTTTGTTAAATAATAGCTAGCATGGACTATTTTGGATACTTCTAGATATACTAGAAAATCAATTCCATTATCATTATCATATCTTCCAAGTAAAGCCTAGTGATTATTTATGGACTGCTAAAGCCTTATTGCTTAATTTTGTTTTTGACCACCTAGCTTCTTTCTACTAATCTTATTCCAGAAATAACTTTCTCACATATAGTTCAGTGTGAAGTCTGATTGCCATTTTCAATAGATACCTTCACTACCCAGATGGGACAAAGCTGTGTCCTACTCATCTACATGGAGAATAAGACCCGAATGGATGTGGGCTTTTGTGTAAACATTGTTTGTATTGTTTCCCACCATTACATCGTTAAATAAGCCTCTCCTTTTGTATAGCTATAATTGACTGTATCAAAAATCAACCAGTGTAGACCACATATGCTCTACTACAGTACAAAATACTGAGGATCTTATGATCTTATCCTTATCATCCTTTTTTTTTTTTTTTTGAGACAGGGTCTTGCTCTGTTGCCCAGGCTGGAGTGCAGTGGCATAATCATGGCTCACTGCACACTCAACCTTCTGGGCTCAAGTGGTCATCCCACCTCAGCCTACTGGCACACACCAAGACACCAGGATAACTTTTGTATTTTTTTAATAGAGATAAGATTTCACTGTGTTGCCCAGGCTTGTCTCAAACTCAATCAATCTGCTTACCTTGGCTTCCCAAAGTGCTAGGATTACAAGCATGAGCCACAGCGCCCAGCTGTTTTCTTAAATACTATACTATCTTGGGGATAAAGCCTGTCATATATAGAATTTTTAAAAGAGAAGTAGAGGCCGGGTGTGGTGGCTCACACCTGTAATCCCAGCACTTTGGGAGGCCGAGGTGGGTGGATCATGAGGTCAGACATTTGAGACCAGCCTGGCTAGCTTGGTGAAACCCCATCTCTACTAAAAATACAAAAAATTAGCCTGGCATGGTGGCACGCACGTGTAATTCCAGCTACTCGGGAGGCTGAGGCAGGAGAATTGCTTGAACCTGGGAGGCGGAGGTTGCAGTGAGCCAGTCACACCACTGCACTCCAGCCTGGACAACAGAGCTCCGTCTCAAAAAAAAAAAAAAAAGAAGAAGTAGAATTTAATCCACCATGCCTTAACTGTACTAATTTTAAATGAGTCATTTGTTCAGAGAATAGACAGGAAAATAAGTTATGTTTATGAAGAATAATTATAGTCTTTCTGCAGCATGGGAGAGGTAAACATCCTTTTAAAAGTGATAGATGGCAATCAAATAACAATAAGAGACAGAAAAACAAATAAAAATAATAAATAAATAAAACAAAAATAAAGTAGCACAATAGTAAAAATACTCTTTTTACTTAATGTATATTCTACTCAAGGAGACAGACAATAAACACATAAGTTTTTTAAAAACTTAATAATTTCATGTGATAAATGTAAAAGGGAATAAAAACAGGGTGTTTAATAAAGAGTGAGGGGCAACATTCAAAGGATGATTATGGAAGGCTCCTCTGAGACAGTGACATTGAGGTGAAGTCTGAATGGCTACAAGAACAATGGAAAGTACGAAGACCTGGAGGCATAAATGAACTTAAGGTGTCTAAAGAATACTAAGTCCAATGTGCTTGGACAGTGATGCATGCTGGGAAGAATAGGATGAAATGAAGTTGGGGAAGTAGCCAGAAGCAAATCATATGTGATCTTTATGCATAGACAAGCAGTTAGGATCATATTCTCTTGTCAATGAAAAAGATGTTCAGTGCACTTGAGACATATAAAGGTCTAATATTTTTGTAAAGATTTTAATCAAAGCAGTTAAATCATTAAAAAAATAGTCATTTCTTAAGAGTTATTTCTGCTGGGAGCAGTGGCTCATGCCTGTAATCCCAGCACTTTGGGAGGCCAAGGCAGGAGGATTGCTTGAACCTAGGAGTACGAGACCAGCCTGGGAAACATAGTGAGACACTGTGTCTACAAAAATTTGAAAAAAAAAATTCTACTTATCAGAAAAACAATCTGTATGAAATAACAGAATTAGAGATCCCTGTTAAATAAGGCCTTAAAGGGTTGAATATTTTTATAGGATATAAACCTATCTTTAACCTATCTTATTTTATAGGTTTAAACCTATTTTATAGGTTTAAAGATAATTTTAGAAGCAAATATGTTTGTACAATCATTGTTTTGGGTGTTTTCTAAATCCCTGCTACTCTTATAACCCTATTGCCTCACCTCTTCTAGTCAGATACTGGAGCCACTAATATCCTGATTCCTAAACAAAGAAACAAACTAAACAAAGCAACAATAGCAAAAGACAGAATTAAGTGAGAATCAATTGTTCTTAATCTTTTGGACTTGGTGTTCTGGACCTATAAGCTTTAGGCTAAGCCTTAGCAGGTGATGGTAGTGGGGACTACTCCCTGGGATGGATCATGGCCATCTCTTAGTTCTTTTGAGTAGTGGCTTTGGACCGTGGTGAAATGTAAGAGCGATCATACAATTAGATTTAGCATAATCTAACAGTCAAGGGTAAGATTTGTGGCTGCTGCCATCCAGCTTTCAATGTGGTCCTCTAATTTTGTGTGAGCTAACATGGCATAGGATAGTATATCCTAAGATGTGTCTAAACAAAGTGACACCGAAGATAATTTGGAGTGGAATGAGGAAAACCTTTTAATTTTAGGTACATGTATTAATTTTAATGCATATTATGAACAAAATAAGTTATTAATCAATCAAACCAAGAATTAATCAATCAAACCAAGGATAGACATTCATGTTTGTGAAAAGCCCAAGCCAATATGTTTAAACTGAAGTAATATCAAATATGACAAAAAATTGTCAGTGTTATATCTGAATGATGGAAAATTGAGAAATGATAGCATTGACCTAACACAGACGTCAAATTGAAATTCTGGCTTGTAACTTCCTAGTTATGTATGACTCTGGAAAATCACTTTAATCTCTGAGGGGCCACTTTTTATAAAATGGGGTAAATAATGTAAATGAAATCATTCGTTTAAAGACATTAACAGAGTTCCTGTCCCATGGGTAAGTACCCCAAAATTAGTAGTTGTTATCACTATTTTCTATCACAATGGGCTCCTTACAGCCAAGAATTGTGTTTTGTACCACTACATTCCCAGAATCTAGCCCAGTGTCTAGCAGTCAGTGAATGTTTTTGAATGAATGAAAGACTGGATGAATATATGAATGAGAATACTCTATTTGAACTTATTAATACGTCAAGTTAATTTGACTTTTTCTGCGTTTTTATTAATTTAGTGTAGTAAATATTTTAGGTGCCTACTATTTACTAAGGACTGTTTTAGGTTGATGATTGTTGCCTTCAAAGACTTCACAATATATCCTGCAAAATATTTCCAACACAGGCAAAGTATATTAATCTATTCTTGTACCACAATAAAGAAATACCCCAAGCTGGGTAATTTATAAAGGAAAGAAGTTTAATTGACTCACAGTTCCACATGGCTGGAGAAGCCTCAGGAAACTTACAGTCATGGTGGAAGGGAAGGCAGGCACATCTTACATGGCAGCAGGCCAAGAGAGCATGTGAAGGAAGTGAGGCAGGAAGAGCCCCTTATAAAACCATCAGATTTTGTGAGAACTCACTCACTATCATGAGAACAGCATGGGGAAAACCACCCCTATGATCTAATCACCTCCCACCAGGTCCCCCTTCAACACATGAGGATTAAGGGGATTACAATTCAAGATGAGATTTGGGTGTGGACACAGCAAAACCATATCACAAGGGTTAGAAAAACAGCAAGAAGGTCACATAAATTTGAAAAATTACCAAGTGTTTAATATTTCTGGCATAATTTAAATTTCTGTAGTCCCTATAAGCTTATTGGTACTGAAGAAGTTACTTAAAATTAATATTCTAATTCTGATGCTTCTTCCTACCTTATGGTACCTTAGACTTCTAGACTCTCTAATTGATATGGCCCTTGGCAACCTAGGTATGTCTGAGATTAATCAAGTATTGTCTCAGATGTACTTATAAGAAACTCTGTTTCAAAGGTTCTGCACTTGCTTTATTGGGCATAGCAGACTCCTCTGATAGGCTGTAGGTGGCTTGTCAACATCTCACTGGATGCTATGCCATTGCTGCTTCAACAAATACCATGTTATCTATTGCTGCTTCTTCAAACTCCATAACTCCCGATCAGCTGTCACATTTCTTCCAGCTGCAGAAAGCACAATTACTACTGCACCAGGCAGTACCAGAAACACCCTGAATCCTCATAGTGTTCCAGGTGGGACACATTCTGTGGCAAAATGGGCAGTAAAGGTGATTTTCTCTCCTCTGATCAAGAAATATTGTTAGCTAATGTTTTACAGTTTCTTCAAGTTCAAGAGAACAGTTGAAGAGATGGTCAATGTGTTATATTTGAAATAACTTCTCAGCTCCTATAACTAGGGCATTTTTACTAGATCAAGTCATTTGTGAGCTCACTGGCCCTCTAAGTCTTCTGCTCAAGAGACCTTGCTAAGTTATCACACATGCCTGAACTTCTGCCCTGGACACAACCTAGACTTAATTTGGAATCACTGTTTTCCTGCAACATTATATATGGTAAGAAAAGTGACAAGAGTTGGCTTTGAAGAAGTAGGCAATGGCTGTATCATTCAGCTTAAGTTTCTATTGTGAATATCGTTGAAGCAGGGAAGTAACTAATCAGAATTTAATATTAGATACCTCCTTTTGGAAGGGTTATGGAAGAGATTGGAAATAACTAGAAGCAAAGAGTATAACCATCATATAAGTGAGAAAAATTATAATGTGAAGAGATCTATTTGGTAGGTAAATTGTACTTAAAAAGAACAGAATTTGGTACTAACCCAATAAAGGAAGTGAAGAAAAATGAGAAGTTAAAGGTGACTGCCATCTTTCTGATCACCATGCTGAAGTCAGTGTAGTAAGGTAGTTAAATGTGTAGTTTCCGAAGGTAGAATACTTGCCTTTACTACTTACTAGATGTGTGACCTTGGGTAAGTTACTTACCCTTGTTCTTTATCAAATAATATTAATAGTAATTACTTCATAGGACTTTTGTGAACATTGAGTTAATATTTATAACTACTTAGAACAATGAATGGCACTTAATAAACATTTAGTAAGTTTTAGTTACTGCTGGTTGTACTTTGTAATTAATCATAATACTTATTGTTTCAGTATTATCAGTGGGATGGTGGTGGTACCGCTAACTAGAATAGGTAAATGAAGAGGAAAAGAAAGTTGGAAAGCTAAGGTAGTAGTACTTCAATTTTAGATTTACTGAGTCTGAGGGCCACTCGTGTATCTAAGTAGCAGTATACAGCAAGCTATAACTGGAGCTCTAGTGCGACACTGGCTAGAAGAAAGTGAGAATGCAAGATTGCCTTCTAAAAGGCTGGGGTACTAAGTAGAAACCAGTGCATTCAGGAATACATGAAGTGAGACTATGGGGATAGGATGTTTAGCCTATTCTATCAAGAAATTGTAGAATGAGATGGCAAATAGGTATGACAATAGCCAGATAAAAGGAGATTACTTAAAAATAATTTTTAAAAATTTAAATAAAATGGGATAGATTTAATATCTACAGACTGAATTTATACAAAGCCAGAAGAGGGGTAGGAGAGGCATAAACAAAAATCACAATGAAAACTAATAAATACTAATGATTTACTAATAGAAAAACATGTTTATTTTGTGCCAGCCACTGTTCTAAGCACTTACATGCATTATCTTTATAGATCCTCAGAACCAAGCAAGATTGGTACTAGAAGAGAAAGCATGAGGTGTAAGAGGCTAAGCTGGAGCGGGTGGCCTTGAACCAAGTACTGTCTGGTACCCAAGTTCATATTTTTAAGCACTGTGCTATTTTGCCTTCCATACTTTGAATAAAAAGGTTAATGGATAAGGATCATAAAAACATTAGTGGGGGTTAGAATTGAGAACACAAATGGAAAAATCAAGAGCATAAAATAGTTGAGGATATGGTTTAAGAATCATTGGATTGGGTTAGAAAGGAAGATATTGAGTAAGAGGATATAGAAAACAGATTTCTCATAGCTCTTCCCTTGTGGAAATAAAAATGACATTATTGGTATTAAAAATATCTGAATTCAAACATTCAGTTATCAAACACCAATCATCAAACAAGTTTAATTACTTACTTTTTCAAAAATAGCTAAATGTGTTGGTTTTGTTGAGAAAGTGCTAAGACTCTTTTGGCAAGGAGTGATATTTAAAAGTAATAATCCTTTGAAAGTGATATTTAAAAGTAATAATCCTTTTTTTCTTATTCAGAGCCTACTCAGATGTAAGTCCATTTATCTACACTGGTTTTAGGCATGAAATCCAGTGAGATTTACTGGTGTCTCTATTATTTTTCCCACAAAAGTTTGAGTGTGGTTAATGGTGTAATTGTTAGCAGAAACTTTCTTCTTACAGCAGTGTTGGTGGGCTTTAAAATCTCTTGCACTTATCTTTTTTCCTTCTTGCTTTTAGCACTGCAGTATTTTCTTGATGGAAAAAAATCCCTATTGATTCATACCAGGCTTATAAAACGGAATGTGTGCTTCTACTTTTTACAGGCAAATGAAATAGAATGATTATAAACAATGAACTTGCCAATGTGATACTGCTAATCAGTTTGTTTAAATAAAACCCAAATCATGTGCCAGATACCTGCCATCTTGTGAAGGAACAGTTTATGTTCTTTGTATGTGGCCAGGTTTTATTCCCCAGAGATTTGTTGCTATGAGGCTGGAATTCAACTTGTATGTGGTTGGAATGATATTAAGTCATAGACACTCTGCCAGAACATATCTTTCCAAACAGGTGGGAAAATGAGGTGAGGTGGAAAGAACTCTGCAGTGATGCAGAAGAAATGCATAAATATATTTATTTTTTATAATATCCTTTCAAAAATCTCAGCTTTTTAACAACTACTCAACTAGATACCAAGGTTAAGAAGTTCTCATTACCTACTTTAACACAATAGAGAGGACATAGTTCAATATTTGTAAATATTAATTTTTATGAATTTTGACATGCATTTCATGAATCTATACACAGTTTATTCATTTTGTTTTGCCTCTGTTAAAAAGACATTTATCCTTTAAAGAAACCTATGGCACAGAAAATTTCTCTTAGAAATGCAAATAAATAAATTATCTCTCTGCTTTTACACACGACACTGAGCTGTTTTTTAAGTGGAATAGAGATAAATACCTTACCAAATGTCTGAAATGTTGACATCAGTGCAGATTAATCTGCATGTCTGTGGTGAATATTAGATCATTCTAGAACACTGGGCTCAGATAAGACCATACAACTATTTATATTTGTCCCTTTTAAAATTATTACTATTTGGGTAAATTCCGAAATTTTATTGAATACTTTTTCCTGGCCTTCTAGCCTCACAATGTCTGCTAAGTAAAAGAATGTGTCTCTGCAAATATTTCACATTTTGTATTTTCAAAAGTAAGCATATGGGTTCTCAATAAAGTTAGCTTATATTAAGCATTTCATTCTAGTTAATTGCTAGCAAGGTTTAAACCTTGTATTATGTAACAAATGTCAGAAAAACTCAAAACAATTCCAATCAAATCTGCGTTCTGATTTGTGGCGTATCTCTGTAGTACTTGGAAAAGATGACATAGTGAAAGAAAAAATGCTTAACTTTCTGGAAAGATATCATGGAAATAAACTGTGCTAATGCCATCCTTCATAGAGATCAACCTCCAGCTCTTCATATATGCAGCTGTCTCTTTCTTACTTGAGTCTATTTCAACTTCCATGACCCTGTCTTGACTTTGTGAGACTGGAGGGGAATCTTGACTTGCTCCTTAACATATACATAGCATATGTCTATTTAATAAAGAAGTTAGTGACATCTTGCTTGCTAAATTTTAACCACAGGTAACATCTATAGTTCTCTTGTTCACTAAACTGAAATCTCTATTCATTTGAACCTGGATCTGCTGACCCAACTAGTCTCTGTAACTAAGAATCTGTTATCTCAGCTGAAATGTTGGTGTCTGAAAGACTGACGAAAAGAATAATCTACCTTGCCTTATCTATCTTGTTAAAGACAATGATGTGCTAATATGGTCCCTAGATTATCGAAATGACACTGATAATAAGCATGTCTTTAGTTCTTTTGTGCAGAATACTAGCATCTTTCTTGTGACCAAGACTGAAAATATTAAGAAATAGGGCTGCTTTAAAGGCAGAAGTGTACAGTAACAAGAGACAAGATGGAGCCAAAGACTAGGAGTTGGGACTCAGAAGAGTAGCTGTGGTCTCTTTCTTACCCATTTTCCTGAATTTAAATTGTTTCTGCTTATATTTTGGTGGTTTTAAAGATTGTGAGGTATTTTTTTTTTGCTTAAAAATAACTGCAATGAAAGCACTGAATATGCTGTGTAGTTCTTGATATTCAGAGCCCTCTATACAATATACTATTCTACTTTTCCAGCCCTTTCTCCCATTCTTCCCCTGAAAGTACACAATTTTACCATCCAACATAAATATTTTCCTCCAAGCATGTTATCCTTTTACACCATCCTGCCTTTGCTCTTCTATTTCTATGTCTTAGCTCATCTTCAGCTGACAATTTCCAGTCTACTTCTTATTCAGATTAAGAATAATTAAGAAACCAGCGTCTGGGGAAGGGAAGGAAGTAGAAAGTGTAGATTTTCCTTTTAAATGTTTGTGAAAAGGAGGAGGAAGATGAGATGACATTGAGAAGCCTTAGGGATGATTTTCTTTGTTTTATTTTTTGCCTTTATGGATACGTAGAATTTTGCTTTAGACTAAGAAAAAGAAATTAATAGTAGAGAAGAGAAGATTGTATCATCTGGGAAAAGAGGAGTTTTGATAGAAAAAACCTGGAGGAGGCAGCAATACATGGAATCAAGAGTAAGAGTGGGTGTGTATTTAGAATCCAGGTGGCATATGACAAGGCTGGAAAGATATGATGGAAAGTTATTCATATACTATTGGAAGTATGAGGAATAAATATATAAATGAAGATAAAGATGGGGAAAAGTCGAAGAATTTGAGCAAACTCATGTATGATGGCCTGCATCATTTTAATAATATCAACTACTGAGAATGAGAAATGCAGGGTTGGAGGTGGTCACTTAAGAAGAGTAGAAAAGGCCTGGAAGAGCTATCACAGGAAATAAGATAGGTTGTCAGCTGAATTTAAGGAATGCAGAGTTAAATTGAAGACCTACTTAAGATTAGATACATATAGAGATGATGCAAGTTGCATTTAAGAAATCTCATATTTTGTTCATGCCTATGGATACTATGTGATACATTTTACAGTTACTTTATGGTTAAGTTTATAATAGATATAGCAGATAATGGGCATAATTATATGTCAGTGTTATCATTGGCAAAAGATCAAACATTCCTGAAATTTGCAGAAGCAACATTCCTTTCTTGACATTTAATTATAATAAAATGAATAAATATTGGTTACCAAAACAATCTAATATAATACCAGCTCTGACTGTTCTAGATAGAACTATGTCTGCAAATGTAGCAAGCACTTTTGGAGGTTTCAGACAATTCTAATGTTTTCTGTTTCATAAATGTTGATATATATGATTTTTGTATTATGTAAATTGTCAATTTAGAACTGGGCCTCCAGTGTTAAATGGTAATTTTTACCATTTCAGATATGATAATAGAAATTGGGTAAGGCTCAGCCACATTTTCTATGGAAAGGATAGCATAGAGCTATTACCCTTAGGCCTTTACTATAGGATAAAGTAGAAACTGCTGATAACAATAAAGTCAGGAGTAGTGCAGGCATTGGAGGGATAAAAGTGCTAGCAGTTTTGTCTTGGAAAGAAGAGAGAAAAACACGACCTTCTCTTTGCCTGTATCTCCAATTACATTAAATAATATAATAGTAACTGCTGAAATAAATTCACCCCCAACATTTCTAATTGCTTAAACAACTAGAAACTTATTGCTCACAAAATGCCCCTGAGCAATTCCAGATTATTGAAAAGTAGGTGATACTCTGTTTCACTCAGTCATTCAGGGGCCCAGGTTAATGGAATCTCTGCCAACTTTAGCACATGGCTGCCAAGGTGGTACAGTTGTTTCCTTCCAATGAAAGAATGAGAAAGATCATGGATGTTGGTGGATGGATATGATTAAATAAACGTATAAGCTAGCCTAAAAATGTTGCATCCTGCTTAAACTAGCATTCCATTATCCAGAACCCTGTCACGTGGCCAAATCTGATTGTAAGAGAAACTTTAATCTTGTCGTGTGTCCAAGAAAAGAGGAAAAGGAGTTTGGAACAATTCTGTTTCATTATCAGTGCCAGACTAACTGCTGAGTAAGAGGTGTGGGAACAGAACTGGTCTATTGATCTAACAGGGAAAGGCATCTTCTATCTAACCCCAATCTCCACCTAATGGTTGGGAACACTGGACTGCTTTCCTTCTATTTAGTTGTTGCCTGAATGCAATTTTTAAATTAAAAAATCAGCAATTAACCTAATTATCTAACAATTGGAGACTGATGAATATAATTAGAATTTACCTACTCAACGGTATTACTGTAAATGACCTTTATGATGATAAAGTGGTGACATGGAACATTGTTGTGATTAACACAAGACACAAAGTTTTATCTCCACTATGATTGTTAACAGTAAAAAATAATGAGTGTGTTTTAACTAGGGAGCATACGAATATTTAATTTAGTGAAATCTTCAATTTTTTTGAATTGTAAAAAATTTCTTCTACTGCTGCAATATTGATTATGCAATAAATCTTGCTTTTTAAATGCATACAACCTTCTCAGATGTGTTGAAGTGCATATGTTAAGGTACGGTAATATATCATTAACTAGCTGCTATGGAATGTTCTATATTCAGATTATACTTCCTTTATAACGACAATTTGACTTCAAATGTAGGCTCTTATAAGCAAGTATACCTACTTGCTTATATTTTCTTATATTTGCTAAATATTTTCTGATATTTGAGAGGTGGGTTTATGCAAACATACCCTAAACATCGAAAGTTTTAATTAAAACAAATGAGGATGTTCCAGAACCCCCCTGTATTGTCTAAGTATTAAATGAAAAAAAAATCCCACTTATATTAAATCTTGGCCTATCCAGCTAGAATAAACTTCAAAGTTTCAAAGAAACCAAAGGAATGGTTTTTTGGGGGGTAAAATATGAATTTAAATCAGATTTAAAATTATTATCCTCTTTTCTCCTAATACTTTCCCAACATAAACACATGCAAACTCCTGATAATCATAGTCATTGATACATGAAATTATAGCCAGAGTAATTATAAAGAGAAAATTATTAAAATTTTGTAGATACATTAAACTGCTTCCTACTGAGAGACAAAAAGTTATATGTGTGTGTGAATATCTATGTATATATTTGTGTATGTGTGATGCATGTTTTAGCATACATTTAAAACTGAGTTTTCTAGTTTCCCTTTGTCCTGGCACCAATTTGTTAGAGTGATATTTATTGAGTGGGCTTATGGTCATCAGTTTTGACATTTCTGTATCTGATTAGATATACATATGGGCTCTTAAGAAAGCTGCTCCTGAGCTTTAGTATACATAAGAATTAACTGGGTCATTTATTAAAAGTTTAGGTTCCTAATGAAATAAAATTGGAAGTAGGCGTGAATATACATTTATAAGTACCGCCCCTCTCCCCACAAAGTGGTTGATTCATGAATCACACAATAGGGAACACTGCCTCAAGTTGCCAATAAAGGCTTTGTAGGACTGTTGGATTCTTGTATCCTCTTATGTCAAGACTTAAGCAAAGTGCTTTTTCTGAAAATAAGATTTTGTACCTTTCCAGATTTATGTTTAATCTTCTATAGTAACACATGGGGACCCTGACCAGTAACCCAGACCTGTTTTGCCTTTAAGTGCAAAACATCTAAATTTTAGAACAGGGGCTGGAATATTATGACAGCCTGTGGGCCAAATCTCTTTCTTCTGCTACCTATTTTTGTCGGGCCCATGAGATGAGACTGGTTTTTAAGTGTTGAAATGGTTAAGAAATAATCAAAAGAAGAAGAATATTTTATGACACATGAAAATTATATTCAAATTTCAGTGTCCATAAATAAAGTTGTATTAAAATGCAGCCATGCTCATCTGTTTATGTATCATCTATGGCTGTTTATGCACTAGAATGACAATGTTAAGAAACCACCACTGAGACCATATCTGGTGCTCTCATTACTGCTCAATACTACTAAGTACACTATCCATCAAGTGACACAATTATAATTCCACAGTGTTTAAAGTGCCACACATAGTCATAACACACCATAAGCAAAACATATTTATTATGCAGAGACATTATAGTCATTGTTTATCTTTAGGAAATGCACAAACTCTTTATTACTGTAGCCCAATACCTCACCTTGCCAAGTATTTTGTTATTTCATAATGCTTCTTACTTCTCATCTGGTCTCAGGTATATAAAATCAATTCTAGCGTACCAAATGTTTCATTCAACTTCAATGAGTGATTTATACATATGGCTACATTATAATTATCTGTGTAGCAAACACAAAATTGGGGTAAATGAGTATTCCATTGTAGTTCAAGAAAATAGGCTTGCATATGTACTCATTTGTCCAATCAGCTCTAGCTGTGATGAATCAGTAATTCTTTGGAGGAAGGAAAATTCAGGAATCTGATGACGGAGTTTCTGAAGGTGCAAGCAACACAAATCAGGAACTTTCCATTCTCAACCATGAGGAACAATTAGTGCAAGCTTGATAGTTCTAAATCAGAAAATCAGGAGCCAGTATCAATAGAAATCAGGAATCTAGTAACTTCACTAGAATATCCAGGCTGCATCGGTTCAACAGCAAGTGCAACTCTTGGCATGTTTTCAAGTTAAGTTCCTTCATTTGTTTTGATTTTCATAGTTTGACCAGTAGATGGATACATAATGTTTCCCTGATAGATTTCAACCAATTCTTCCTTTTGGGATGGCTAGTAAAGGACTGATCAATCTATGCTTTACATTCTTACATCTTTGTTTCTTTGCAGACCACCTAGATAAGAGTTTAATCCTAGTAAGAAACAGAGGCATTCTTTGTCCTTTTGCTCTTTATGTAAATATATTCCAGATTCATTCTGCTTTACTGAATGTAAGTAAAACTGAGTCCAACATTCCATGTGATGCCTGGCATTTTCTTTCTTTGCTTCAGTGTATGATTTCCAGTTGAATTATACTCTTCGTATACAAATTCAATTGGAAAAGGCTCTTGGTTGGCATTTTTCTTAGAAGGTATGCTAAGATTATATTTTAAGCTAGTGTTAAAATATTTATGAAAAAGTGCCTTTCGTGTTAATATTTTTAACATACTGAAAGTGAGTACATATGCATCTCTTCAAACAGCTTTCAATGGAAAGAGTCACTTGGACAATTTTCAGAGTTGTTATACTATGAGCTCTCTCTGCTTATGACCACTCACACACAAAAACAATGCAAATAATAATGTAGTTAAGAGCAAATAAAATTTAAAACTGATGCATTATAAAAAAATGCTCTCAAATGCAAACTTTTAGTTACCAATAAGCAAAAGTACAACGTGAAATATTAAAATTGATAACTATAAGCATTGTTTACAAATGTAAAGAAGAACATATTTAAAGATTAATATAGGGAACCAGATTATGTTTAGTTTGTCATCTAATCTGTAGAATATCATCTTAAAAACAGCAAAAGTAACACAAAATAAATATCAGCTGAGTTTTTACTATTACAAATACTGTGGCTGTTAACATTTTAACTTTTCTCAATAGTTGGAAAAAGCATGCTAAATCAAAATGAGCCCAATAAATGTTAAAACTAAGACAAATATATTTCTATAGTGAAAACCCTTTTATGATAAGGTTTTAGTCAGTAACTAGAGAAACTCATTTTTCTTTTCAGAGTTTAGCTTTTTTATTCACCCACATGTTTTACCTTTGTAAAGGATGTGGCTTCTTTGAAAGACATTTTGGCTTACATCCTTGCTGTTGTATGAATAAATGAAAGCAAATCATGCTGTTGAAAAGTATAAAGACAAAAAAAATTGCCAAGGTTGCAAACAAGTATAAGCCTGTAATACATGTAAATAATCTGGATTAAATATCAGGGTTGTCAGAAACACAGTTACAAAGTGCTGCTCCCTGCTTGATATAAGTCATTACTACTACGTTTAAGAACTTTATTGAGCACGTTTCTTCCTAAGTTTGAGCTGCTGTATCAACCTGAAGGAGCCAATGCTTCACCTACCCCCTTAGGAGTTCAGATGCTGGACAATCTGATTCAGCAAAGGCTCACACTGTTCTGTCATTCATAAAGTAGATAAAATGTAACACGAACACCGATCAGGTCCTTGAGGTCACTAGGCACAGTGTGGAACAGACTGGTTGAACCAGAAGTTTGTTTTGTTAAGTCAACACCTTGCATAGGAATTTTGATTTCGCTGATGTTGCCTGCAATGTGCAAAAACCTGGGGACGTTACTTCAACATTGTGGGAGCACAAAGCATATCTGAGGAAAGAAGTGAGGTGGTAAGGGCATTTCAGCCAATGAATAATGGGAGCTCTCATTTTCTTTAAAATTATTTTAACATAATACTTTTTAAAAAGTAATATGAATTTCAAGAGACAGAAGAATGTAATAGCTAAGAGCATTGCCTCTAGAGTAAGTTCTAAGTCTTAAAGCTGTGTGATCTAGGGCAAGCTGCTTAATATCTGTATGCCTCAATTTATTCATCCATAAAGTGGGAATAATACTAGCAAATGTAGCTGAAAGAAAATATGTAGAATTAGAAATTGAGGTTCAAAGGGGGAAGAAGTTCTGTAACCAGTTGTCTCCAGGCTTGAAAAATCAGAAATGTGAAC
Organism: Homo sapiens; assembly: GCF_000001405.40. Lineage (NCBI taxonomy): Eukaryota > Metazoa > Chordata > Mammalia > Primates > Hominidae > Homo > Homo sapiens. Next base: position 80,710,155 of record NC_000004.12, read on the forward strand.
TAGGAGAGGATTTCTTCTGAGCCTTAGTATTTAAAGACCCAGAGTGAAAGCAGGTGAACTCATTTGTTTTCTCATTGGCCAGGATGGCAGAGGATAATAGGATCAACTTGGTCCAAGGAAAGCAACATGCAGAAACCAGAAAAGGAAATTAGATTTCTTCCCTAAGAATTCCAGAAAGGATGCCAGAAAAAGACAAGTTTGTGATTGAAAGAAGAAAGCTCAAATAAACACACTAAGAGGGAGATTTGGTTTCAACTCTGCCACTAAATGTTTGGGTGATTAGGACAAGTAACAAGTCTCTCATAACGTGGGCTTTCTTTTTCTTTTTCTTTTTTTTTTTTTTTTTAAAAAAAAAAAGGTAAGTTGGAATATCAAGCATTACAGATTGATGGCCTGGGACAAATTCACATACGAGAAATAAGACTTTTTTTTTTTTCTGTCCATGGTGTTTAAAAGATTTTGAATTCAAAATCCTTTAGAGGAAGCGTACATTCCCTGATTCTACCAGCGTTCCAACTACATCATCCCTCATCCCCTTTACCCACTCACTTACTTCAGCCCTGACAGCATTTGAGCTTGAAACTTCTCTACCTCTCATTCTACTTTTTTTTACTCACTCTAAAATTCCATCAGACCGTACACATAATGATACAATGAACACTAATACTGGCTGATTATTGGGCTCCTTTTTTGTACCTGGGACTTCACAAACAAATCTCTAAGCCTTAAAACAACCTTAAAGAGTAGTGTAAGGAACATGACTGTGCTTTGGTCAAGGATGGGCCCAGGTAAACCTCCAGAGTGACTCAGCGAGTTTAGAGCACAGGCGTATAACTCCTCTTGTTATCACACCCATGTAGCCATAACATGGGAAGGCTCATCATTTGGCACTAAGCCTCTGTTGTCTGTAAAAGGTATAATTGCCCTGCTGACACTACACAGGCACACTTGTGCCCAGAAAGAGAAAGAACAGTCAGAAAAACTGGAGAGTGGGGAGGCAGGACACAGCACTGCTCAGCTCATGCCCAGAGAGAGAAAGAGTTAAGCCGCTGACCCTGAAAGCAGGGGAGAGCCGGCTGTTCAGTTGTGTGTGGGAGCTGCTGGACTAAGTAGCCAAGACAAGGTGAACAGTGTGAGAGAGCTAGTGTGGGTGAGCTGCTCAGAGGAGCCACAGAGCTGGAGCAGACAGCTGAGACAAGGTGGACAGTGTGAGAGAGCTAGTGTAAGTAAGCTGCTGATGAGAGCTGCTGCTGAATAAACTCATCTTTCACCTGCCTACAGCCCCACTGAGTGTTCATTCAGCTATCTGCTTATCCACCCCTCCCCTCGGACCTCAGTATGGGCTGGAACCTGGACCTAGGCGTGACAACTGGTGTAGTCATAGACCCAACAGGTAGATAACATTATATTTATTTTACGGATGAGGAAACTGGGGCTGAGGGATGTTGAGTGACTTGTCTTAGGGTACATAGCTTGTGAGTAGCAGGGCCAGGGTCCTAACTCCCAGCTAACTGGAACCAAGACTGACATTCTTTCTGTTACACCATACTTTGTTATGCTATTTAAAAAAAGTATTTAGCTATCTGGGAGATGTTCTGATCCAGAGTACCGTATTTTTGAATTATGCTGGAGAAATGAGTTGCTACCATTCATCAAATGAGGCAACTTCAAGATTAGGCCCTCCAAGTATGCTTAAGAGACATTTCACCCAAACATTGTGGAATACAAGTTCTATGAATTGATTCTGCTCTTTTACAACAGATCAAAATGTGCAGCTGGAGTTATCTCAGTGTTTAAAATTGCATCCTTTGCTTGCATTTCTAAAATGGAGTCTCCTTCCTGGTTACTTTCTAATGTTAGCTGCTAGGAGGCAATACTTACCTAGCTCATGATGTACTGCCAAGTGCACGTATCTCAAAAGTGTAATTAAGCTAAGCATCTGGTGGGCTTACACATGCTGAGGCCATGGTTATGAGGTAAACTTCTTGAAGGCTAATGGTGCAAGTCACTAACAACATGCTATGTTATGTATTTAAGGCATTTGGTTACTGTCCAACAGCCATACTCTCCTCAGAACCATTCCTTCTCAGCATCTGCTCCTTAAATACCATCTGAATTACAATTGTAGCATACTGAGAAAAAGAAGTGTTACTATTCATATTAGAAAGCCAATACAGCTGAGATAAAGCAGATTAGCTTCATTTTACCTCAAGTTTCAACAAAAACTTCAGATAAGTACTAATTTCAGAATCCAGGTTGTATGTGATAACATAAAGCATGACAAAGACTAACTAACAATGGCAAATTGGCTTAATTTCTTAGCTACTAGCTTGAGCTTGTAGTGCTGGCTGAATGAAAAATCTTGTTTTGACTTGAGTGAATTAAATGTGTAAGTCAACAATGGTGACTAACTGTATAATCCAAAATTAAGAATTTTTAATTATTTTCTTTACTAAGCTGAGTAAACTCTTAACTTTCAAATCAACAACTCAATATATTATAATGTGTCTAAAGACTTTTAAAAAAATCACATACAGAAATGAATTAGTATGTTTTTCCCTTCGATAATAGCTGGATTAATTCAACTAATCAGTGAATGGTGTGCCATAAAATGATCTGTTGACTTTTAGATTTTACAAAAATTGTACTGTAAGTGCCCATATTTATGTATCTGAAGACTGTTTTTCATAATCTGACCAATATTTTGCTTCAAACCTGCAAATGGAGACTTCTTTGTGTCTCCATTTCCTCATCTCTCTTAGTGGAGTGCCCTATTAGAACCCTGTTAAAGGGCTATCCTTTCATTCATTCATTTTTTGAGAGCATTTAGTATGTCAAGCAGTGTGCTGGGTGCTGGGAACAGTGGTGAGCCAATCATTGAGTTAAGAGGCCAAGAGATGATGTAAAAACTAACCATTCAAGGGTATGTAGGAGTTAACCTAATAGACTGGAGATGAGAGGGCATTCCAATGGAGTAGAGAAGCAGAAGCAAAAGTATGTAGGTGAGAGATAGCACAGGAAACCCTCTCAGGAGGTTAATGTTAATGGATCTTAAAGTAAAAAGAGGAAGGGAAAAGAGAGGAAGCTGTAGAGTTGGCCAAAGTTGGACTCTATTAACCCAATTGAACCCATGTAGGAGGCCACTGAAGAGCTGCAGTCCAGAGAATTGCACATCCAGCTGTGCAACATGCTGTTGTGTGCAGTTTTGAGAACTATCAAACTTTACAGTAAGATGCCAGGCAATAGACAACAATGGTCTGACCTAAACTGTTCTTATTCCATCATATTCCATAGAAAATAAATTGCTTTCTATAATGTGGGAGGCTATTAGAAGAATCCCACAAAGACATCACCAATAGCAACAACAGTAATATCAGTGGCAACATCAGTAGCCATCAGAATTTATGCAGCACTTATTACAGGCCAGGCATTCTGCCAAGCACTTTACATGCTCGAGTGCAACCCTTACTACAACATTGTAAGTGAGGTGCTTTTATTATCCCCATGTTTAGAGATAGTCACACAACTAAGCAGTGGGTGAGGTAAGACTCAAAGCCAGATCTTCTTTAGAGCTATGGCCTTATTCACTATGCTATGCAACCAAGCTTATTTAATTTGTAACTTTACATTTACACAAAATAATAAAGTAATGGCCTTCAGAATAATAACTGAAAAAAGTCCCTTCTAAAAGAATCGAAGTAAATGCACTTTGTGGCTGCTTTTGCATTTGGTTCATAAAGACATTTAACTTCCAGTTTATAATCATTTTAATGAATATTCAAACTCCAGGAAGAAGACTGCTGATGCCCAAGTAGAAGTAGGCCACAGAGCAGCCTCTATTAAACTTATGAGATAGTGGAATATATATATATATGTATAGCTTCAGCACTTCTTGCTTCTTCACCTTTATTCCTTGTTGAATTTTATCCTTCTGCCTATCTATGATTTAATGCTGTCTCGCTCCTTGAGGGAAGAGTTATTTGAGAAACTGATTTGGAAAGCAATGTTTGCTAGTGACTTTATAGATCCTCCTCCTAGAGGATATTTTTATATGAAGTGTGGGCTATAGAGAGTACAGAGGAAAAGAGAGAGAAGCTTCCATAATGCCTGGGAAGGGCTGCTTTGTGGAAGGACTAACTCTAATTTGTAAACAGTCATATGAGATGATGAATTTAAACATTGAAATCATACAGTAAATAGTCCTATTCAACTTCTGATTATACTTTGACTTGCATTGTGGTTAGATTGCCTGGAGAAAATGCTCTGGGTAAAGGACAAAGTACCCAAATACATGAACAGTTACGGTTCTCAGTGCTAATCCTTAAAATATTATCTGATTTTATCCATTATAGCTCCATGAACTTTGGTTAATGTGAGTCAGTTCTTGAGATACAAATCCACTTCCAGAATGCCAACAAATCAAATTTCTAACTCTGAAACTTTGAGAATAGACCTGGAGTCATGTTGAGTCCATCAAGAAAACGCTCTCCTTTAACATTGGCAGTAATTTAGTTTTTTAGTTTTTTGTTTTTTTCATCATACCCATACCTTGCTACGTGCTCTTTCCCTTTGGAAACTACAAAAGTTGTTCAGAAAGCAAAATTGTAAGCATCCCAGAACTTGGAAAAGAGATGGAGTTTTGAGAAAGCAGAAAGCAGAATTTCTCATTACTTCCAGACCATACCATGTAGGAAAATTGAGCCCGTTTTGGAAATCTACTAATCATACTTCCGACATTGACTATTTTGTATGTTATTCCAGGAAAAAAATATCAATTCTGACACATGACAATTTCTTATAATTGCATTTAATCAAAGAGTTTATGTTCAAGCTACCTAGAGTTCTTACTGAATTCCACAGGGCTGACTCTTGGCAAGTTTAGGAGTACCGATAGTCTTACTAAAACCTCACAATTTTCCAGGTAGTTCCCTGTCTTACCCAATAAATCTTAGTTTCTCTTCTCAAAAGTTATTAGACTTCCTGGGCAGAGTACCAAGTTGGGCAGATGTTTTGAAGATGTTCTGATCAATCCAAATTAGGAAATAGGTGTTTGAAGTTCACTATATAAACACAATGATTCTGAAACTTGGCTATGTGATTTGGTTGGAACATAGTAAAGAAATACAAAGCATTTTGCTGCCTCCATATAACCCAACCTTGTTTAAGAGAGGGGGAAAAAGGACAAGTTGGCTTACCTCAGATATGTTGATTTCCCTATAAATTCTGGCAATGCTTAGGTCTATTTGCTGCTGATAATAACAGATCAAGCAATACTTTCCACAAAAAGGTTTGTTTTGTTTTGTGATGGCAGACATTTTTTTCTTGTTTCTGATGTGGTAATAGCAAACCTTTTAATTTCCTGAGGGTTGTCATAAATATTGCACTTCTGAAAGACCAAAATGGGTCTACACTTTGTGTTATCAAAGAAATATATTCAATTTACCATCAAATTAGTTAACATTATGGCATATGCTTTTTAGAAATAAAAAATTATTTTCAAAAAACAAAAACTGGTTTAAAATATATAAAATGTACGTTTTTCTTTTAAATGCATTTTCTCTTAAATATTGACTATATGAGTAAAGCACAAAGTCTTTTGTGCTATTGGCCATTTGATGGAATTTGATGATTTTTAAGACAACTCGCAATTATCACCACCATTTTATTGATGGAAGTTTCAAATTAAGGGCTGTAATGCTGATAAATGTAGAGCAGTGTTCAAAAGTCAAGTCCAATATTGTTTTCATCAAACCTTCTTGAATTCGCCTTCATTTTAAGAATAACCATGGAAAAGCAAACTTTCAGTGTAAACAATTGTTATTTTTCTGGGAATCCAATTTGATTTTTAATATGTCTAAATCTGAAAAAAATCCTTCAAACTAACTAGGATAATGTTGATAGAATTGAAAGAATTTGGGAGTAGTTACCTAAAAGCTATAAACCCACAAATACAAATAAAGAAGAAAACAAAGCTTGCTCAGTAAAATAAGTACAGGGTAAGAAAATAGGGATAACTGTGTTAACAATCTTTTTAAAATTTTGAAGTGTTATATTATTGCAATATGACTTCCATGTGGATATCTTGCTTGCTCTTCCCATGACCTCATGAGAGAAACAAGGCACGTAGTATTTTCACTTTGCAGATGAGAAAAATGAGATGTAGAAAATGTACATAATCTATTGCCTGATAGCAAGTGAATGTCAATAAGGATAGTATTGATATATTCTATATATATATAATATATTCTATAAGATATATCCTAATATATTCTATAAGACAGATCAATTTGGGCTTCAGTTGAGTTCACTGATGACACATGATACACCCATGGAAAAACACACACAATCAAATTGTGCCTTGCTTCAAAATATTCACTCCCAATGTGCAAGCTTACATTACATTTGTATGCATCGTTGTTCTTCCACTAACAAGCTAGATGATTTGGCTCTAGTTGTGATATATTTTGTAGCTTACTTCTTTATTTATAATGCAAATGAGCATCCTGCCCCATTAAAGTTTGTACCACTGAGTGAAATTACATGATAAAGCACCTGTCTTTTATCGTGGTACATAGGTACTTCTTTACAAACCAGTTTAGTTGAATCTGAATATGTATATACATAATGTATAGCTGTGGATTAGGGAGTCCTAGCTGGTTCCAAAGCAGTGCCAATTCAGATGATCTCTGATGGTCTGTGGTGATTGTCAGTGATAGAGAGGTTGCCCAGGAATTGCAACCTACTGAAAACCTTTGAAGGAATGTGTTTTCTGATTTTCTGGTGTCTACTTCAGACACAAGTTCTAGAGATGTCTCTGGCCCTAAATTTAAACCTGCACAACTATTGGGAAATGTATTCATTTACCCATTCATTTATTTAATATTTATTGAGTAACCAATGTTGTGTAAAATAATCTGCTCAGTGCTGGGGCTACACCAATGAATACGACAGATACGTTTTTCCTTTTTTATGAAGTTTTCAATATGTCAGGAAGAAATATAACCACACAATAACTATGAAAAAAATGTGATGAATACTATGATAGGGTAAACTAAGGTGGGGTGGTGACATAGGACCACTTAGAGGAGTATCTGACCTACCCTAAAAGGGATGGTCTCCCTTTGTAAGTGAGCATGTGTAAGCAGAAAACTGAAGGATGAGTTGAGTTTGGCTGCTTTTAAATAAGAGAAGAGAACCAGAACGTCTGGCAATGATTTTCTCTTGTACAGTTCCAGCTTCTCCCATGACATTTGAGATATACAAAGTCATATTTGAATGCTTTGTTATGACCGCTGTTACTGGAAATAAATTCAGGTCAGCAGAAATCACATATGACTACTAGTCTTTTTCCAACTACTGGTAGAAAAAACATCTAAAGTCCTGAATTCCCCCAAAATGTATTCCAGACAGGCCTTTAAGTTATTTATGTCTCAGGATCATTGTTTCAAAAAATTACAAATGTCTCTTTATAGGAGAATGTATTAATAATTATGAAAACAAGAATGACTGTATATCCAATACCTGCTATGTGTCAAGAATGTTTTACATTCATTAGTTCTAATTTTATCAACAACCCAACTAGGTTGACATTTTTATCACCATTTTGTATAAGTAAAAAATGCAGGAAAAATAGTCTAATTCTCATTTTATCCTCTTAATTGTAAAGTTACACTTTTATAAAATATTAAATGTACAGATGTTTGCTAGTTGAAACATTTGACTTTCCCCATTTCACAAAGATGTTTTCATTATTGGTGACTGTAATTTTACAATCATTTTTAGTTTTACGATTATAATGTATATTAACATTCTGGTATCTATTATTTTTCTCTCACTTCTCCTATGGTTTTATAGTTAGTAATAATAATGTCCTACTAACTGCTTGAAACCAGAGTATTTATAGCTCAGAGAAAGGTAGCAAAGAACAGGGAAAGATGAAGATGGTACACATTCTTGTTATTAGGAATCATCAGTATAGTTTTTCTGAGTAGGCTGTACAGAAATTTTGAGTAATACAATATGGCAATAGTTAAGTCTTTAGAACACTGTACTTAAAAATATGGATACAAAATCATAGGAGATTCTAGCAAAACTCAGGGAAGGAAAAGCATGGGAGAGTATCGTGTTCCTTCTGAGTCAAAGACCAGGTCTTTGGCCTGGTATCTTTGGTATCGAATTATATTCAATATATTTTTGGTGAATTGAAGAAACTACAGAAGTAGGAGAAAGGATCTCTTTGATAAACAATGTCCTTATCACTATTATTTTCATCAATGCAAACATATGGGAATTGTGCCTCTGTGTAGTACTTTGGAACAATTGTCAAGAGTAGATAATAGTAGTGGAAGTTTAGAGAGTTTAATAAAAGTAGAGAGAAGATTTGAAAAACATTGTAAGTGAAGACAAATATAAAAATAAAACCTAAAAATATATTACTATTTAAAAGGTTGATAATACATTAGGTCACAAATAAAGCATCAGTAAGTTTCATAAAGTATTACGACAACTCTCCAATCACAAAACAATACAATTAGAAATTACTGATCAAATTTTTAAAAAGTCCTTTCACCTGTAAATTAAAAATTTAAAAAAATCGTTAACTCTCAGGTGAAAAGGGAAAAACAAACTAAAATTAGAGGATTAAAAAACAAATGATGATAAAAATACTACATTTTAGGACCAATGACATATATTTAAACAGTAATTAGAGGAAAGTTCAAAGCACTAATGTGCTTTGAATGTCCATTGATGACAGATTGGATAAAGAAAATGTGGTACATATACACCATGGAATACTATGCAGCCATAAAAAAGAACAAGATCCTGTCCTTTGCAGGAACATGGATGGAGTTTGGGGGCCATTATTCTTAGTAAACTAATGCAGGAACAGAAAACCAAATATCACATTTTCTTACTTATAAGTGGGAGCTAAATGATGAGAACATGTGGACAAATAGAAGGAAACAACAGACATTGGGACCCACTTGAACGTGGAGGGTGGAAGGGAAAGGATCAGAAAAAATACTGTCAGATACTAAGTTTAGTACCTGGGTGATGAAATAATCTGTACAAAAAACCCCCATGACATGAGTTAACCTATATAACAAACTTGTAAATGTATCCCTGAACCTAAAATAATATTTAAAATAAACCTAAAAAAATAAAATAAAGAATCTCAGTGACAACAGTTTTCAAGATAAACTCAAGTGCATTATTCTATGTTGACATTTTTGTTTCTCTTGGGTCTTAGGGTAATTCTATGCTTAACTTTATAGAAAACTACCAAACTGTTTCCCAAATGACTGTACCATTTGTATTCCCATTTGCAACGTATGTGAGTTCCACATTCTTGTCATTTCTACATTAGCTACATCTCATAAATTCTGATATGTTGTGTTTTAATTTTATTAAATTAAAAACATTTTCCATTTTTGAAAAAGAAAGAAAGTGCTATATAAACTGCATGCTCTTTGTAAGCAGTTGCAGTTTTCCTGCCTAGGCTGCCATCACTCGGCTATGTGGTTTTGTCCAGCACACCACCACTGCAGTGTAGGTAAGGCCAGTATGTTGTCCACCTTGCCATCACTGGACTGTTTGTGAGATGTCTTGTCCAGCTCACCATCTTGTCCAGCCTACCATCACTGTACCATTTCTCTATGTAAGGCACTTCTCCTGTCCAGCCCACAGCCACTGGACTGTCTCCTCTGTATTTAAGCCCCTAATAAAACTCCATGTCTTGATAAAAAATAATGAACTGAATAAAATAACTGTTGTGACATTCAGTGTCAGAAAACAAAGGACACTGGTTTCTGAGAGATGGGAAACAAATAATATAAGCCCCGTGATTGTCCCAGATTATTGCCTGGACTATGTCTCCAGGATGCAGTGAGGATGGAGGAAACCAGGGAGAGCACTGAAGTCTCCTTGAGTTGAGGTGGAACTTTCAGTATCAGAAAGTCAAGGCATCTATGGTCACTGAGAAATATGCTTGAAAAGAGTGAACGTCACAGACAAAAAGCAGCAGAGATCTAAAGAGGACCCCCCCTCAAGAACTGAGCTGAGTATCAGTGATACGTAAGAATAACTTACCTGGAGCAAGAGAGAATGAATTATCTGAAAGAATGAGACAGAATAATTGTTAAAGGCAACACAGGGTCACCAACTAGATTGAAAAATCTCATAGTTCACAGAACATTGCAGTACTCAGAGGGGTTTTACCTCAGCAATGGAGAAAATTAATCCTAGATTAAATGTTTCTCTAGCCCCACCTAACAAACCTTAAAAGTAAGACCTGAATGGTCTAACTACTCTTACTTTTAAGGTAGGATTAATTATAAGTAATTTTACCATGTCCTTTTAAGTTAGGATTGGTTATAAGTAATCTTACCATGTCCAAGAATAAAGCTCTTTTAAGCTTTATTAAAAGCAATTTTAAACCTACCTTTTAAGGTAGGATTAATTATAATTAATCTTACCATGTCCAAGAATAAAGCTCTCAAGGATATTTAAAGGAATAAAAAATTAAGTGCCTAAAAATATAAAATTCACAACTTTTAGAAATTGTTGGGAATACAGAGAAACAGGAAAATGCTACCCATAATAAATTCTTCTGAATAAGGAGAAAAATCAACCAAGTGAAACCAACAGAAAATTGGTAAAGATGGTAGAATTAATGGTTCATGATATTAAAAGTTTTTATACCTATATTCCATATTCAAAAAATTAGATGAAAGTCTAAATGTGGCAAGTAAAGAATTGGAAGATATTTTTTAAATGACCCAAACTGAAATTCTAGAGATAGAAACTACAATGTTAGAAGTGAAAAATATACTGGATATAGCTAACAGTAGGGTAAACATTAAAGAAAAATGATTATTCAAGAATTAGCAGTCAAATCTTCAAAAATTAAACACAGAAGAGAATAAAGAAAATGTATACAGTATAAGTAAGCTAGGAGATAACTTGAAGCAACCTAATATACATATTATTTGAATCCAGAAAGGAAAGGCAGGAGACAGAATAAAAGAAGAAATAATGGCTGAAAATTTTCAAATTTGATGGAAATCCAAGAAGCTCAATGAATCCCAAATGTTAGAAACACAAAGAAAGTTACATCAAGGAATTTGTATTTGTTTTCTAGTGGTGTCATAACAAAATACTACAGACTGCATGGCTTAAACAAAAGAAATTTATTTTCTCACAATTTTGGAAAGCTACATGTCTGAGATAAAGCTGGTAGCTGGTTGATTTTGAGGCTTCTCTCTTTGGCTTGTATCCCATGTCTTAACATCATCTTCCCTCTGTAGCTTTGTGTGTCCTCATTTCCTCATCTTATAAGGGCACCAGTTATGTTAGATCAGGGCCCATCCTAATGACTTCATTTTAATCTAATTACCTCGTTAAGTACTCTATCTCTAAATACAATCATATTTTTGAGGTGCCAAGGATTAGGACTTCAACATATGAATTTTGGGGGGAACTCAATTCAGCCCATAACTCACATCAATATCAAATTACTTAAAACTAGTGATAAATAGAAAATTTTAAGAGAAATAGGAGAGGGAAGGGAAAATACATTTTATAGAGAGAAACAAGGTTAAGGCAAATTTTGGTAGGAAATTATGCAAGTTAGAAAACTGTGGAGCAACATCTTTAAAGACCAAAAAGAAAAAAACTGTCAACCTAGAATTCTTTACCCAATAAAATTGTCTTTCAAGAAAAAAGACAAAATAAAGATTTTGTCAAACCTACGAAATTAAAATACTTCAGCATACCTGCACTATAAAACCTGTCAAAGATGTCACTCAAGCAAAAAGTAAATTATGCCGGATAGAATCCAAATCTAAATAAAGGAACAAAGAACATCAGAAATGGTAACTACATTGGTAAACAGAAAGACTTTTAAAAATTATTGAAATATCTGCAACATATAATGTCCTGTTTAAAGCAAAAATAATTTTACCATATATAGAAAATAATCGAGCCAGGCTCAGTGGCTCATGCCTGTAATCTCAGCACTTTGGGAGGCTGAGGTGGGCGGATCACCTGAGGTCAGGAGTTCAAGACCAGCCTGACCAACATGGTGAAACCCTGTCTCTACTAAAAATACAAAACTAGTCAGACGTGGTGGCGCATGGCTGTAATCCCAGCTACTCGGAAGGCTGAGGCAGGAGAATCGCTTGAACCCAGGAGGCGGAGGTTGCAGTGAGCCGAGATCGTGCCATGGCACTCCAGCCTGGGCAACAAGAGTGAAACTCCATCTCAAAAAAAAAAAAGAAAATGAAAAAAAAGAAAACCTGATAAATTGGACTTTATTAAAACTAAGGATGTCTGTTTTTCAAAAGACACTCTTAGTAGAATGAAAAGGCAAGCCACAAGCTAGGAAAAAAAATACTTTCAAAGTATATATCTTTTAAAAGACTTTTAAAACTCTCAAAACTTAATGATTAGAAAACAAAAAATTCGGCCGGGCGCTGTGGCTCACGCCTGTAATCCCAGCACTTTGGGAGGCTGAGGCAGGCGGATCACGAGGTCAGGAGATCGAGACCATCCTGGCTAACACGGTGAAACCCCGTCTCTACTAAAAATACAAAAAATTAGCCGGGCGAGGTAGCGGGCGCCTGTAGTCCCAGCTACTTGAGAGGCTGAGGCAGGAGAATGGCGTGAACCCCGGGGGGCAGAGCCTGCAGTGAGCCGAGATCATGCCACTGCACTCCAGCCTGGGTGACAGCGAGATTCCGTCTCAAAAACAAAACAAAAAAAAATCAATAATAAAAGTAGAACAGATTTGAACAGACACTTTACCAAAGAAGACAGATGGATGGCAATAAACACTTGAAAAGATACTCCACATGACTAGTCATTAGAGAAGTGCAAATTAAAACCACAATGCGATACTACTACATTTCTATTAAAAAGTCTAAAATAAACAAACCTGACCATACCAACTGTTGGCAAGGATGTGGAAGACCTGGAACTCTCATATACTGCTAATGGGAATGAAAATGGTACCATCGCTTAGGTGAACTTTTTGGTAGTTTTTAAAAAGGTTAAACATACACCTACCATATTACCTAGACACTCTATCCCTAGTTACCCAACAGAAATAAAAATATATGCTCATACAATGATTTGTACATAAATGGTTATTGGAGCATTATTTGCAATAGCCCCAAACTGGAAACAATACAAACATACATCAATAGGCTAAAGGATAAAAAAGCAGTAAAATACCATGAAGTAAATAATAAATGAACTGCTGATACATGTTACAACATGGATGAAATCACAAAACGATTATGCTGAGTAAATCAGATAAATGAGTTCACAGATTATTTCAATAATATAAAATTCTAAAAAAAACGCAAACTAATCTATAGTTAAAGAAACTACATCTGTGGTTGTCTCAGGATAAGGGGCTGTGAAGAGGTGAGAAGAAGATACATTACATAGAGAGAAATGGGAACAAGATAACTCTTAGGGTAATTGATATATTTATTATCTTTATTGTTGTGACAATTTTATGGGTAGAATTTAAGCTACACAATTTAAATATGTGTGTATTTTATTGTATGTCAATTATACCTGCTAAATTATAAAAATAAAATGAATAAATGAATTAAATATCTATACCAAAGAAACCTAGATAAAAAGGGAGGAAGTATAAAATGTAAAAGTAAAGATTAATGAGGTAGACAATAGAAACATAGTCCACCTAATTAATAATTCAAAATCATTTTGTTATGAAAAATTTAATCAAATAAACAGTTTCACCAAGAAAAATGGAGACAGGAAGAAAAATTATGCAAGATAAGAAACAATAAGGGGAATAACAATTAAAACATGAAAATTGTACTTCACAATAAATTCCAGAAAATATTATACTGTCCTTGTTTTGTTTCCTTGGATCCAACTCTGTAGCTCTCTAATGTTTCTATTTTGAATATGACAGTTAGAAATGTCACTAAAATATATTCATTACAAATTTGACTATAAATTTGTATTGTATTTGGTAAAACTTTCAAAATATTTCTGGATTTAATAATAAATTTGGGGTGGGGGAAATAATGTTAAAAGAAAAGTAGAGCTTGAGTTTATACTTAAAATGAATGAATGTAGCAGAACGGCATGTGTCAGAAGCAAACTGGGCAATTGGGATTTCTTCCAATTAACTTCCATACAAAATTCAGTGTTTATTAAAGTTAATAATGTATACACAAACTCCAAATTAGTGCATTTAAAAAATGAGTAATTTTTTAATTACTCATTTAAAAAATGATTACTCATTTAAAAAATGAGTAATTTTTTAAATGCACTAATTTGGAGCCTGGTATACATTATTATAACTCAAAGCAACTATAGCCTCTTTTTGGAGTTAGATGAACTAAAGCTTTTTATAGGTAAGCCTATTTCGTCACTGACTTTTTTTGGAATTGATGGCTCAAAATAACAATAAAAAGCAGGCCTTTTAGTTGATTTTATAATTGTTTAATTCTCTACACACTATATCCCCTTATTTCCTGCACCCTCGGAAAGTCACTTCCATTGCCCACCCTTGATACTCTACCACCTCCAATAACTTTCTGAATATTTCCTAATGAATATTTCTTCTGTTATTTTTTAATAAGTTTCTCCTTGTTCTCTGGATGTTGCTTTCTTCCTTTTTTTTCTTTCTTTTTCTTTATTTCCTTCATTCCTTCCTTCCTTTCCTTCCTTCTTTCCTTTCTTTTTCTTTCTTTCTTTCTTTCTTTTTCTTTCTTTCCTTCTTTCTTCTTTCTTTCTCCTTCCTTCCTTCCTTCTTTCTGTTTTTTTGAGACAGAGTCTTGCTGTGTTGCCCATGCTGGAGAGTGGCATGATCTCAGCTCACTGCAACCTCTGCCTCCCAGGTTCAGGCGATTGTCCTGCCTCAGCCTCCTGAGTAGCTGGGACTACAGGCATGCACCACCATGCCTGGCCAATTTTTTTTTTTTTTTTTTTTTTTTTGTAGAGATGGGGTTTCACCACGTTGGCCAGGCTGGTCTCAAACTCCTGACCTCAGGTAATCCACCCACCTTGGCCTCCCAAACTGCTGGGATTACAGACAAGAGCCACCACACCTGGCCTGCTTTCTTATATTCTAGATGAATGACTTTCTTTTAATACTTTGAGGATATTAATTTTACATATCCATGGAGAGATATGTAAAATTTCTATTTTTTTCTTCATTGATTACGTTTCCTGTGAATCACTTTCTCTTCTTGACTTTTTTATCATCTTTGTTTCATGTTAAATACTTCCTTCAAATGTCTGGAGATACTTGATTGTTTTTAAGAGAAAGTTCTGAAAAGCTAATTGGAAGTCTCTAACCCTGTGGCTTTTTCCAAAGGTGAATCTCACCATGGGGGTATTGTGTGGAGAAGCATGTAATTAGTTAGGCAACTACCCCTGGAAAAGTCAGATTCTTTCTCTTCACAGGTCAGTTTCTCCAACAAAGACTACTCTAATCTATCCATATGAGGTATAAAAAGGGTGCAGGTACAAATCTCATTGCTAGCCTGGTAGCTAGTAGAAAAAGGTGCTGGGGTCTTCTAATTCAGACCTTCCGTATTGTAGGTTTTCCCTTTGTGGTCCTGTTTTTAATATGGCATCTGATCCTCGTGCTTGACTGATACCTGAGTTCCAGAGACTGTGCTTCAACTTCATTATACTTTTGTAGTGATAGAGGACACTTTCCTGTGTGCCAAAGCTGAGGAGGGAATGAAAGCCAGTTCTAACTGTTCCTCATACAGATTTTCATATAATTCTGATGTCAGCCCCAACTCACTGGCAGCTACATGCACCTGGTGCTTCTAATTTTCTTTCACCTCTGTAGAGGACATTTGGGCTTCAATTATTTGTTTTTCTGCTCTATTAATTAGTGGTCATGGTCAACAATCTATTTTATATCTTCTACAGTTTTGTGGATTTCTTTCCCCTTCACTCACTTCTTCCCTTGTTCTCATTGCCCTTATGAGTTTATACCATCTTTATTCCTTTACTGGTATTTTGTTAGACTTTCCAGAAAGAGTAAAGGTAAATGAGTGTGTTCATGCTGTCATATTTGACCAGTAGCTTAAACTTTTTCTCTATGACACAATTAGAATGATAACATTACAATTCATATATTAAAGATGCCTATAATCTTCAAGTATTTGAGTTTTGTGGTTTTTGCCTTTTTTAAAAAATTGCCCTATTAAGTAGTCATTGATACTTGTTAAATTTAAACTGTTAAAAGAAAGAAAAAGATATCTTTTTAAAAGCCTCCAAGTAAATTCATTTTATACTTACTTAAATTTACTTAAATTAAAACAAATATATTTTTACAACCTGTGTTCAAATTTGAATGAATAACTATCAAATAATGGTTAATAATGGAAAGGAAAAGAAACTGTATCAAGAAGAGATGAACTTTTTTTTCCGTACTTCACTGGTGCTGAAATGTGTTATGAGCTATCTGTCTTTGTAATGCTTTTGGCATTTCACATACAGAGCAAATCAACACTGACATATGTTCTTTCCCTGATTTTCCATTTCTTCACTAACTTAAACATTGTGGGGACTGACTGTTCTACTCACCAGTGGTGGAATAAAGTAGTTGGCTTGAAGTTGATTTAAATTAAATCTGATATTTCAAAGATACAAATCATGTTTTTACAGTATTACCACAACACCCATGAGATATTATATAATCAGTTGGATACAGGTATGTGTTTATCAATTGGTATTTTCTCATCTAGGAATACTTTCCATGATTAATGTTTTTCTTTTAGTTCACTAATTTAGTTCAGAAAAAAAATCTTCTTAAGATTTCCTCTTTCCACACCCCACTCCACCCCCAGCATTCCAGCAAAAATAAAGTGAAAAATAAATAAAAGAAAACAGATCAGTGGGAGTCAGGGCAATGTCATGTATGTTCCAAGATAACATTTAAATGTTTTAGGAAAAATATTTCCTTTCAATATGAAAGAACGTCTATGTATCTTTTCTGGAAAAAATATTTTATTTCAGCTCACTAGTAAAATATGACATAGCCCAGAATTCCAGGTCATTTAGTGAAGATATCTATATGTTCCTCTTTTCCTTCTGGAATATTTTACTTACTACTTTACTTTACTATTTATATAATGGTAATATTACAATATTACTATTATAATATTTTTAAAAAGCTAGAATACCTTCATAAAGTTATTTAACTGGTCTGTACTTCACTTTACTCTTTCAAAAGTGTGAAGACTATAGAATATAAATTGTTTTGATTTACATGCTATAATCATGTTTTAAGGCAGCAAATGTATGAAAGCCATGTAAAGGTGGTCAAGAGAAATTAACTCTTGAGCCAGACTAGCTGAATTCAAATCATGATTCCACCACTGTCTTGTGGAGCCATGGCCCTTGGGTTCCTTATTTTTAAAAGAGGGCTTATAATTATACTACATAGGAATGTTAAGAGGTAAAGTAATGCACATTTAAAGCATAAAATACTGTCATTTACTTGTAAGAATTAAATAAATGATATCTATTAACTTTTGTTTTCATAGCTAATTATTATTATTGTTATTATTATTAAGGTGCTCATTTCAGGATGTTGCTCAAATATATTCTGTCATTACATTTGGGACAGAGATTTCTGTCCATTGACAAGCAAAATATTTTCCAGGAAAGAGTCTAGAGAACAAATATGAACTATTTGGTAATATATATTAGGAAATTCTTCATACTGTTATGAAGTAATAATAATATCAATATTTTAAAGTAGGATGCTTATAAATATATTAATATAAATTAAAATTGAGATTCAAATTATTTGTTTTGCAGTGAAAGAATATCTCATTTCAACTATGCATTAAATGAATAACAAAAACAATTTCTATAGATGTCAGGGTTTTTCCTCTGAAACATTGCAATTTCAAAATTAATAACAAAATGTTTTCCAACTGGGTTGGAAAAGAAATGATCCTCAGTATTTCCATTGTCAAAGCTCAGTAAGTTATTTATCAACTCATATGATTTGTTGCACAATATCCTTTTTCTATTCCCTTATGTTTCAAAACTTATAGAATATTCTTTTTTAAAAAATAATTTTCGAGCTGTTTTCTTAACTTCCATATCCACAAAACTTTGGTTTAACACTTCTCATATTTTCTAAAGACAAAGAAATAATACACTAAAAAGTATTGTGGAACAACAACAAAAACAGTAGACTGGAGAATGTTATTGTGAATTATATTTTCGTTTTTTAAAAAACAATACTTTTTCCTGTAGCACAATTTACTTTTAATTCTTTTTCCATTTTTTTGACTGTATGAAACTATTCAGGAACACAATTTCTATTTATTTATTTCTAATATCCTTTATTTGGAGCTTATATTTTCTTCTATATTCCCAAAATAATCTTATTAACCAATCCAGAAGCCTGGAAACTAACCTCACCCATCTTTCCTTCCACACGCTTTATGTGTAATCAATCACCATATCCCATGCATTTTGCTTTTAAAAAATCTTTGAGTTATATTTTCTCACTGTCTTTCCTGCCTCTATCTTAGTTCCTGCATTAGTCCCCAAATTGAGGACTTGATAAGACAGTTATCCTAACTGCGTGCTACCCAACCTAGTCTCTGTCTCCATTGCTGTCAATGTGGTCTCTATGTCATGACTTCCTCAGAACTTCTTAGTGTGAGAGAGGAATCCTATCTTCACTGGTGTGTGTCTACCTTTCTAATATCTTGCTTTGCCCTTTGCACCAATGATATCATCAGTTTTTAAAAGATGCAATACCTAAAAGCTCCCCACAACCTGCAAACAACAAAAAGAGATCCACTTCTTTCTTTTTTCTTTTTCTCCTTTTCCCCTGTGAAGTTGAGTTTACAAAAAAATAAAATGCAGATGCATCTTGCGTTTCTACCCTAAGTATGTATCTGTCGCTCTGGGTCTGTTCAAGAAGGCTTCATAGATTCTCTAGTCATCCACGCAATTGAGGCCACCAGTTTGCTCTCTTAGGCAGAGCAGTAGTTAAGTTTCTGTGTGCAAGCTTTGACTTACACAATTGCCAGCTCCACACTCTTTTGGTTGCTAATTCCACAACCTCAACAGTGCTACCTTAACCCATGCCTGAAAATAAATTCACAGGTGTTTGTGATAGGCAGCCTCTAAGATGGCTCTCAATGATCCACACCTCCTACTATTCATGCACTTAGGTCATCCTGTTCCCTTGAGCAGGCTGGACTTTGTGACTCACTTCTAACATATAGATTATGGGAGAAATAATGGTATGTCACTCTGGAGATTGTATTATAAAAAGACCGTGGCTTCCTTCTTGGGCACTCTTAGGTCACTCACCCTGAGGGAAGTATGCTGCCGTGTTATAAGCAGCGTTTGGAACAGGTTGTGGTGAGTGCTTATAATTTTATGATGCTTCAGCATCTTTTTTTTTTTTTTTTTTTTTTTTTGAGACGGAGTCTCGCTCTGTCTCCCAGGCTGGAGTGCAGTGGCAAGATCTTGGCTCACTACAAGCTCCACCTTCCGGGTTCATGCCATTCTCCTGCCTCAGCCTCCCGAGTAGCTGGGACTACAGGCGCCTGCCACCACACCTGGCTAATTTTTTTTTGTATTTTTCAGTAGAGACGGCATTTCATCATGTTAGCCAGGATGGTTTCGATCTCCTGACCTCGTGATCTGCCCGCCTCGGCCTCCCAAAGTGCTGGGATTACAGGCATGAGCCACAGCACCCGGCCCAGCATCTATTTTTAAATTTAAGTTTACCTTGACACAGTTTCCAAAACTATACCCCACCTGGATGTCTCCAGCTGGTGGCCAGAGATAAAAATTTAGAGGTGTCTCTCTAAGCAGGCTGGGCTCTCTGCTTTTTTGCTGCTTCCTTCAAATAGACCATTCAGACATTTGCCTGAAAACTTACATGGACCAACTCTCAGTCACATCATGACCTCCTGGAATGAGTGCCTGCTTGCTTTAAACCCATAATGCCCTGGACCCAATGGAGGCATTGCTCCACAGCTTCCTTCTCTTTTTTCCCTGCCTGTGTACTCTGAAGGTCTCTCTTTCTCTCTCTCTCTCTCTCTCTGTGTGTGTGTGTGTGTGTGTGTGTGTGTGTATGTGTGTGTGTGTGTGTGTATGACCTGACCTCCGGGCAGGCAGTGTATCAGTGTATCCCCCAGGGTCTATAAGCACAGAACACTCTTACACTTCCACATTGTGGTTGTGTCACTGAGGCCATGCCTAAAACCCTACCCATGAAGGCAAGGCTCCCCCAGAGAGACCTATGCAGGTGAATCCCTTGCTGGAGCTCTTTTGTTAGGGCCTCTGGTGGCTGCTGGGCACAGTGGCTACCAGCTAAGCTGATAAAAAAAAAAAAAGTTTCATTCAAAACAAAGTCCCACTTCAGTGAGCTGTGAAGTGGATTCTTCACTCCCAGTCAAGCCTTAAGATGCCTGCTGCCTTGGCCAATGGCTTGACTACAATCTCATTAGGGACCTTGAGACAAAGGTAACCTAGGTAGGGTCCAGAGTCTTGACTCACAGAAACTGTCAGATAATAGATGTTTGCTATTTTAAACTGCTAAATTTTGAGGTAATTTGGGGCAATGTATAACTAATACGTTGTTCTCTACAACCACTGTGCCTCTTTGCAATGCATTCATTGGCTGCCATTAGCTTAATTATACTGCTAAAATATTGAACTATTTGGAAATTCCCACAGACACCGTTATTTCATTTTATCCTGCCTTTGCACATGCCTTTATTCTTCCTATTTAGTCCATCCTCTGAGAAGACTTCCTGAGGTGGCAACTAGCAGCTCCTTGGTGTTAATGTACTATCTACTATTTTTGCAATATCTTATTATTATACATATTATTTGATAGACACACTGACTCACAAACATGATATCTAATGCTATGTGCCTGTTTTACCTGAGTATATTTTTAAAGATGAAACCTACTTTCCATTTTGGAAAATATAAAGAATAATCTTTTGAGAGCAGTGGGTGCCTATTTTATTTATTTTATTTTATTTTAACTTCTGATGAAAATTTTAAAATGCCATATCAACTCACATACTGAAGCTGGTACGAGGGGGTCCCATGTTGCTAAAATACGTGTTAACTTAGAATATGTGAGTAAACAAAAACAGGCACAGTAAAATCACCAAATCTTCTGCATTTAAAAAATGCCCCTTGGCAATTTTTCCTTGAAACCTCCACTGATAATAAAAATGGAGGCATGCATGCGGAAATGCCCAATAATGGCTTGTAAAATAACTTTCAAATTAGAAGGAGTCAAGCATTCTGGTTTCCATCGGGCCCACTGGCCATTTCAAGCTTTAATGGGTGCAGGTGCAGTTGTTTCTTAACATGTTTTTGTTTTCACTTAATCCCCTTATCACTGGCTGTTACCAGTGCAACTCCATCTGCTCACCTCTTCCCCTCTTCTCTCTCTCATTCAGCATGCCATGACAAGCTCAATTTGCCAATGGCAAGAAAAAAATTTCCCTGATTTTACCACAATCAAATAGTATGTGACCTTACATTTTTAAGTTCATTGGCCTAAAACTATGGAAGTCTTTGGCTGAGTTGATGTTTATCAGCTATTCATGGTTTTTCTCATAATGTCATGATTATTACCTGTTCATTTTCTAGGTACAGAATTCTAGAAAATCCCTGATTTAAAAAAATCTCACCAACCCTCAACATGGCCCTTTCCTGATTTGTTTTTATAATCCATAATTTTAAATTTATCAGTTTGTCATGTTTTTGTTATAAGATACAACCCTTAATTGCCTGTTACTAAAAGCATCCATAGAATTTTGTCCTTATTGTAGACTATTTCTCCTTAAAAGTGCAATGCAAAGATTTCCCTGCATTCATACACAGACACACAGACACACAGACACACACACACACACACACACACACACAGTGTTGTGTGTTTTGAGTGTAGACAATCTAAGCAGGAAAAAAGACCAATCTGATTGGAAATGTTCCAGAAATCATAGAGTATTTGAAGGAAGTGATTCAGTTTCATGGTTTTCCCTCATAAATCTTGCTGTTTATTTGGAGAAAAGCCATAGATACTCTGGAAGTTTGTTTTAAGAATCACACACCTTAAACTACGAGTTTCTGCTTACTTTTTTCCAGATGCATAGCATGACTCTTCTTCCATTACACATTGACCTTGATTTCTTTCATTTTTAATAATTAAGAAATTAATTTTTGACTGCAAACACAAAAGATAGTGCTGTCTCATACAAGGGTTAGGTAGAAAATGTATCTGAGTTTCCATCTACTTAGAAAAAAACAGCAACTGGAGAGAAATTCTTTTGAATAGTACATTCTATTCTTTAATTCTAATTTTTCCCAATTTGGCTTTTAGAAGCTGAAAAGCAATTGTCTCTAATGGTCCTTATCTTTCTCTTCCTTCCATCACAAACTCTTCTCTCTTCAAGATCAGTTATTTCTTCTAGGAAAGTCTTGCTTGACACTCTTTCCTGGGTCCTCCACACTAAGTATTTATCACATGGCATTGTTATTTTCTACATTCTTTTCTGTATTTCTCTAGATGTTGGGCTCATTCCCCTATATGTTCCTCGTACTAGAAAAGATTCTCTTATATAATGGATCTTCAACGATGATATTTAGGAAAGGAAGCAAAAAGGAAGAACTTCAATATAAATTTTCATTATCTGCTGAGAGTAGTGAAAATAAATTTAGCAGTGTTTTCTAACTCTTGATGATATAAGCCTTATTAATGTGCTTGGCATAGATTATCATCACAACTATCAGTAATACACATGTGTTATTACTAAATCAGTATAAATTGTGCTCACACTGATATTGTAACTACTGTTGCTTATCATCTGTATGTGGCTATAATTTTGAGATAATCATATAATAAATTTTACTGATAATAATTTTGAGGTCTACATATATCTACCAGCTTGAACTAAAACTGAAAGCCTATGAATGGATATTGGATGTGACTTAAAACTGGTAAATCATGCAAATAAACTTTTAATGAACTACTAAGTTACTCTTTTAATGTATGCCAATTTTAATGAAAACCTAATATTGTCTCAGCTTAATGTAGGACACTAAACAGGGAATAAAGTAAGAGGTATCTAAATAGCATTCTTTGTAATTTTTTATTTTTGTGCATTAATAGTTGGTGCATATATTTATGGGGTACATGAGATATTTTGGTACAGGTATGCAATGCATAATAATCATATCATGGAAAATTGGATATCCATCCCCTCAAGCATTTATCCTTTGTCGTACAAACAATCCAATTCTACTCTTTTAGTTTTAAAATGTGCAATTAAATTATTATTGACTATAGTCACATATTGTGCTATCAAATACTAGGTCTTACTCATTATTTCTAACTTTTTTTGTATCCATTAAGCTTCCCTAATTTACCCCATTCCCTGCCTCCCACTACTCTTCCCAGCCTCTGTGACCATTCCTCTAATCTCAATCTCCAGAACTTCAATTCTTTTGATTTTTGGATCCCACAAATATGTGACACTGAGTGATGTTTGCCTTTCCATGGCTTGCTTATTTTACTTAATATAATGACCTCCAGTTCCATTTATGTTGTTGCAAATGATAGAATCTTATTGTTTTTTATGACTGAATAGTACTCCATTGTGTATAAGTACTACATTTTCCTTATCCATTCATCTGTTGATGGACACTTAGGTTGCTTCCAAATCTTAGCTATTGTGAATAGTGCTGTAACAAACATGGCAGTACAGATATCTCTTTGATGTACCAATGTCCTTTCTTTTGGATATATACCAAACAGTGGGATTGGTAGATTGTATAATAGCTCTATTTTTAGTTTTTTAAGGAACCTCCATACTGTTCTCCAGAGTGGTTGTACTAATTTATATTCCCACCAACAGTGGATGAGGGTTTCCTTTTCTCCACATCCTCACCAGCATTTCCTATTGCCTGACTTTTGGGTAAAATCATTTTAACTGGGCTAAGATAATATCTCACTGTAGTTTTGATTTGCATTTCTCTGATGATCAGTGATGTTGAACACCTTTTCATATGCCTGCTTGCCATTTGTATGACTTCTTTTGAGAAATGTCTATTCAAATTTTTTGCTCATTTCTTAATTATATTATTAGATTTTTTCCTATAGAGTTGTTTGAGCTCCTTCTATATTCGGTTATTAATCACTTGTCAGATGGGTATTTTGCAAATGGGTTCTCTCATTCTGTGGGTTGTCTCTTCACTTTGTTGATTATTTCCTTTGCTATGCAGAAGCTTTTCAACTTGATGTGATCCCGTTTGCCCATTTTTGCTTTGGTTGCCTGTGCTTGTGGAATATTATTCAAGAAATTTTTGCCCAGACCAATGTCTTGGAGAGTTTCCCCAGTGTTTTATGTAGTAGTTTCATAGTTTGAGGTCTTAGATTTAAGTCTTTAATCAATTTTGATTTGACTTTTGTATATGACAATACATAGGGGTCAGGATTTATTATTCTGCATATGGATATCCAATTTTCCCAGCACTGATCATTGAAGAGACTGTCGTTCCCCCATTGTACGTTTTTGGCACTATTGGTGAAAAGGAGTTCACTGTAGTGTGTGGATTCCTTTCTGGGTTCTCTATTCTGTCCATTGGTCTATGTGTCTGTGTGCCAGTACCATGCTGCTTTTGTTACTGTAGCACTGTAGTATAATTTTAAGCCAGATAATGTGACTTTGTTCTTTATGCTCAGGATAGCTTTGGCTATTCTGGGTTATTTGTGATTCCATAGAAAGTTTATGATTGCTTTTTCTATTTCTGTGAAAAATGTCACTGGTATTTTGATACAAATTGCATTGAATCTGTAGATTGCTTTAGGCAGTATGAATATTTTAACAATATTGATCCTTCCTATCCATGAACTGGAATATCTTTCCTTTTTTGTGTGTCTTCTTCAATTTCTTTCACCAGTGTTTTATAATTTTCATTGTATAGATGCTTCACTTATTTGGTTAATTCCTAAGTATTTAATTTTATTTGTGGCTATTGTAAATTAGATCACTTTATTTCTTTTTCAGATTGTTCACTGTCAGCATATAGAAATGCTACCGGATTTTTATGTTGAATTTGTATACTGCAACATTACTGAGTTTATTACTTCTAATAGTTTTTTTGGTGGAGTCTTTAGGATTTTCAAAATGTGAGATCATATCATGAGTAAACAAGGATAATTTGACTTCTTCTTTTCCAATTTGGATGTTCTTTATTCCTTTCTTTCTTCTGATTGCTCTAGCTAGAACTTCCAGTACTATGTTGAATAACAGTGGTAAAAGTGAGCATCCTTGTCGTGTTCCATTTAAAAGTAAAAGCTCTTAATTTTTGTCTATTCAATAAGATACTAGCTGTGGGTCTATCATATATGGCTTTTATTATGTTATAATATGTTCCTTCTATATCCAGTTTTTTAAGAGTTTCTTTCATGAAGGGATGTTCAACTTTATTAAATGCTTTCTCAGCACCAGTCAAAATGATCATATGGTTTTTGTCCTTCATTCTGTTGATAAGATATATCAGATTGATTGATTTGCATATGTTGAAGTATTGTTGCATTCCTGGGATAAATCTCACTTGGTCATCATGAATAATCTTTTTAATGTATTATTGAATGCAGTTTGATAGTATTTTGTTGAGGTTTTTTACATAAATGTCCATCAGGGATAATGGTCTTTGGTTTTCTTTTTTTGATGTGTCTTTTTCTTTTTTTGGTATCAGGGTAATACTGGCCTCTCAGAATTACCTTGGGAGTATTCCTTTCTCTATTTTTCAGAAGTTTGAGTAAGAATGGTATTATTCCTCCCATTTTGAAGGTTGCCTGTTCACTCTGGTGGTAGTTTCTTTTGCTGAGCAGAAGCTCTTTAGTTTAATTAGATCCCATTTGTCAATTTTGGCTTTGGTTGCCATTGCTTTTGGTGTTTTAGACATGAAGTCCTTGCCCATGCCTATGTCCTGAATGGTAATGCCTAGGTTTTCCTCTAGGGTTTTTATGGTTTTAGGTCGAACGTTTAAGTCTTTAATCCATCTTGAATTGATTTTTGTATAAGGTGTAAGGAAGGGATCCAATTTCAGCTTTCTACATATGGCTAGCCAGTTTTCCCAGCACCATTTATTAAATAGGGAATCCTTTCCCCATTGCTTGTTTTTCTCAGGTTTGTCAAAGATCAGATAGTTGTAGATATTTTCGCAACCTACTCATCTGACAAAGGGCTAATATCCACATTCTACAATGAACTCAAACAAATTTACAAGAAAAAAAAAACAACCCCATCAAAAAGTGGGCGAAGGACATGAACAGACACTTCTCAAAAGAAGACATTTATGCAGCCAAAAAACACATGAAAAAATGCTCACCATCACTGGCCATCAGAGAAATGCAAATCAAAACCACAATGAGATACCATCTCACACCAGTTAGAATGGCATTCATTAAAAAGTCAGGAAACAGCAGGTGCTGGAGAGGATGTGGAGAAATAGGAACACTTTTACACTGTTGGTGGGACTGTAAACTAGTTCAACCACTGTGGAAGTCAGTGTGGTGATTCCTCAGGGATCTAGAACTAGAAATACCATTTGACCCAGCCATCCCATTACTGGGTATATATCCAAAGGATTATAAATCATGCTGCTATAAAGACACATGCACAGGTATGTTTATTGCTGCATTATTCACAATAGCAAAGACTTGGAACCAACCCAAATGTCCAACAATGATAGACTGGATTAAGAAAATGTGGCACATATACACCATGGAATACTACGCAGCCATAAAAAATGATGAGTTCATGTCCTTTGTAGGGACATGGATGAAATTGGAAATCGTCATTCTCAGTAAACTATCACAAAAACAAAAAACCAAACACCGCATATTCTCACTCATAGGTGGGAACTGAACAACGAGAACACATGGACACAGGAAGGGGAACATCACACTCTGGGGACTGTTGTGGGTTGGGGGGAGGGGGGAGGGATAGCATTGGGAGATGTACCTAATGCTAGATGACGAGTTAGTGGGTGCAGCGCACCAGCATGTCACATGTATACATATGTAACTAACCTGCACATTGCGCACATGTACCCTAAAACTTAAAGTATAATAATAATAAATGAAAAAAAAATAAAATAAAAAAGCAGAAAAAAGAATGGTATTATTTCTTCTTTAAAAGTATGGTAGAATTCAGCAGTGAATCCATCAGTTCTCAGGCTTTTCTTTTCTGGGAGATATTTTATTATGTTTTGATCTCGTTACTTGTTGTTGGTCAGTTCAGGTTTTAGATTTCTTCATGGTTCATTCTTTGTAGGTTTATGTGTCTAGGAACTTAATACATTTCTTCTAGATTTTCCAATTTATTGGCATTTAGTTGCTCATAGTAGCCATTAATGATAATTTGAATTTCTGTGATATCAGTTGTAATGTCTCCTTTTTCATTTCTAATCTTAGTATCCTCTGTCTTTTTTTCTTAGTCTGGATGAAGGTTTATCAACTTTGTTTATCTTTCAGAAAACCACTTTTTAAACAAACAAAAAAAGAAGAAAAAAATTAAAAAGAAGAAAAAAATAAAAATAAATTTTAAAACCCAGTTTTTTATTTCAGAGGTCAACAACTTCAGGTTGGTGAATGTTTCTTCTTTTTAAAAGTAGACACTTATAGCTATAAACGATCCTCTTAGTACTGCTTTCACTGTATCCCAGAGATTTTGGTATGTTGAGTTTTAATTATCACTTGTTTCCAAAAATTTATTGATGTCCATTTTAATTTCTTTATTGACTCTTTAGTCATTCAGGAGCGTATTGTTTAATTCTAGTGTGTTTGTATAGTTTTCAAAATTCCACTTGTTATTCATTTCTAGTTTTATTCCATTGTGGTTAGAGAGGAAGCTTGCTATTATTTCAATTTTTTGAATGTTTTAAGACTTATTTTGTGACCTAACATATGGACTATCCTTGAGAATAAGCCATGTGCTAAGGAGAAGAATGTGTATTCTGCAGCCATTGGATGAAATATTCTGTAAATATCTAATAGGTACATTTGTTCTATAGTAAAGATAGTAATGTCCAATGTTTCTTTGTTGATTTTCTGTCTAGGAGATCTGTCCAATGCTGAAAGTGGGGTGTTGAAGTCTTCAGATACTATTTATTTGGGTCTGTGTCTCTCTTTAGCTCTAATAATGTTTCCTTTATATATCGGCTTGGACCAGTGTTGGATGTTTATGAATTTAAGATCACTATATCCTCTGGATGAACTGAACCCTTTAACATTGTATAATGACCTTCTTTGTCTCCTCTTATAGTTTTTTTCTTGAAATCTGTTTTGTCTGGTATAAGGATAGCTGCTCCTGCTCTTTTCTGGTTTCCTCTGACATGGAATATTTTTTTAGATCCCTTGTTTTCATTCTGTGAACTTTATAGGTGAATTATGTTTCTTGTAGGCAGCAAATCATTGGGTCTTTTTTTTTTTTAACCCTTTCAACCACTCTATGTCTTTGCTGGGAGAGTTTAGTACATTTACGTAAATTCAATGTTATTTTTAATAAGTAGCAACTTATTCTTGCCATTTTATTATCTGTTTTCTGGTTGTTTTGGAGTCTTCTCTTTCTTCTTTCCTTTCTTCCTGGTATTCCTTTTAGTGAAGGTGATTTTCCCAGGTGTTATACTTTAATTTCTTAGTTTTTTAATTTTTTTGTGTGTGTATCCATTGTATATTTTTGGTTTGAGGTTACCATGAGGCTTGCAGGTACTATCTTATAACCCATTATTTTGAACTGATGGCAACTTAACACAAATTGCATAAACAAACAAACAAACATGCAAAAAGAAAGCTGATAAAACTCTATACTTTAGTTTCGTCCCCCTGCTTTTTAACTTTTTGTTCTTTCTCTTTATGTATTATTGTACTGTCCATGTCTTGAAAAGTTGTTTTAGTTATTGGTTTTCATTGGTTTATCCTTTAATCTTTTTACTTAAGTCAAGAATAGTTTACACACCACAGTTACAGTGTTATACTATTCTGTGTTTTCCTATGTGCTTACTATTACCAGTGCATTTTGAATCTTCAGATAATTAATTCTTGCTCTTTAGCATTATTTTCTTTCTAATTTATGAACTCTCTTTAGCCTTTCTTGCACGTCAGGTCTGGTATTGATGAAATCCCTCAGCTGTTGTTTATCTTGGATTATTTGTTGATGTTTGATGGATATTTTCACTGGATATACTATTCTAGGGTAAAAGTGGTTTTCATTTTTTGTTTTTGTTTGTTTGTTTGTTTCGTTCATCATTTTAAATATGTCATGCCACTTTCTCTTGGCCTGTAAGGTTTCCACTGAAAAGTGTGCTGCCAGACATATTAA